>NC_000011.10:39908484-40060000 GCF_000001405.40 Homo sapiens
TGTTGAATGGTAAAAAAAACAGCCACAGCTGTTCCTGAAGAAGCAAATGCATCAGAACACAGTAACGTGAACTCATGTGGAAGATCTATAATGATACCTGCGTGTTACCCTGCTGATAGAGGACTTCTGGAAGAAATATTTAAAATGATAGTCATAGGAAACCAAGAAATGCCAGAAATTAAAGATTTTTTTGAAAATTTCAGAAACATACTATATTAGTTATCTATTGCTGCAATAATGCTATGTGCATACATACCAAAATACATGTGACTTTATACATATCTGTGGATTTCAAAACACTGTTCTGTGTGTTGGCTATAACTCTCCTGGGCTCAGCTGAACTTGGCTCCAGGCTTTGGGTTGCGGTCAGGTACACTCCAAATATCTCCACATTCTCCCTGGATCATCAGCTACTAGGAACATGTTCTTCTTGTGGCAAATCACAAGGGCAAATATGAGCTACCCACACTATATGAGTGTCTTTCAAGCTTCTAGTTACGTCATATCCACTGACATCTTTTCCATCATTCAAAACATATCATGGATCAAGTCAACATCAATGAGAAAGGGCAATATGATCCACTCACTCAAAAAGAAGTATATGAAGTCACAAAAAAAGGAAATAGATACAGTGAAAAATGGCAGATAATTATCCAATTTTACTACCCCTAAGTGTATTGGAAAATGTTCACTTCCTTGTAAGAACTAATGCCCAGGAATGTTTAATAATGCTTAAATTAGAGCAAAAGTACTGTAGTTCTCAGTTAAAAAAAAGATTTTATGGCAGGGCTTTACCTTGCTCCTACAATCTTATGGTGATATTATCTGGAAAGTTCCTAAATTAAGGCTTTATTCTTATAACTATCATGGGATATGAGACTATTGTGCAAAGCCACCAGAAGACACAGGAAGGCCAAATGTGCATAGAATTTAAGAAGTAATCAGACCGGCATGTTGACTCACACTTGTAATCCCAACAGTTTGGGAGGCCGAGGAAGGTGGATTTCTTGAGCCTAGGAGCTTCAGACCAGCCTGGACAACATAGTGAAACCCCATCTCTACCAAAAATACAAAAAGTTAGCCAGGCATGGTGGCATGTACCTGTGGTCCCAGCTACTGGAGAAGCTGAGGTAAGAGGATCACCTGGGCCCGGGAAATTGAGGCTGTAGTGACCCAAGGTCACAACACTGCACTCCAGACTGAGAGACAGAGTAAGACTCTGCCTCAAAAAAAAAAAAAAATCTAAAGTGTAGAAAAGAAATTTATGAAAATTTGCCTATTCTCTTCCAAAGCCATCCAAATATCCTTACAAAACGACACACAGACAATAAAACATCTATCTTAACTGCTTAAATGATCTGTTTTAATAACACTCATAGTAGAAAAACCAGAGTAAAGGAGGCATATTGACAGGAATGGAAGAAAAAAATTTAAAGCAGTTTTATCAATCACAGGGTATTTATTTTACTTAATCCAAAATGAAGTAAGTAATACCATACTTTCAAAGTTTAACTTTAGTAATTCATAAATAGCCAACTTGAACAATTGAGACTATAAAGACATAGTCAAATTTAACTTACATTTTCATGATAGAAATAAGTATCAGATCCAAGAATTTTCTATGCTTCAAACTTCTTTTGGTGAAAAATAAAATTCAAATCATTCTATCAAATGTGTAAAATATTCAGTGACACTTTTTTAAAATGCATGATATAAATGCCATTACTTCATTGGATTATTGTTCTTAAATTATGAGTCATAATGATTTGTACATCCTCTCATCTTCCAAACATGATTTTTTCCCCCTGTGATGTCATCTTTAATTGGGAAAAAAAAAAGACCTAGCTTCCTTACATAGCAGCTTTAAGATCATTGAAAACAAACCAAAATATCTGAAAAATAAGCAGGTTCACTATTTATTCACATTGAAAGTTGGGTCTCAACTGTTTTCTTTTATGTAGAAACATTAAGAATTTGTTGCATAGTTCAAACATTATTGGCAGAAAATTTCCTCACAGTAAACATCATACATAAATCCAATTCTTAATAATCAGAATTTATATTATCATATGAATAAGCACTAATTGAGGTTTTTTCTGTTAATTGGTTTATCTCTTAGAATAAAGAAAATAGTATTTAATACACTAGTCTTTTCATAATTCATAAATTTTGCTGTATCACTAAGTACATTAGTTAGATCTGCAGATTTTTTTTTTCCATTGCAAAACTTGATCGGTGAAGAAATCAGTAAGTTGATTTACATTCTGGAAGAAAATCCTTAATCTGGGTATACTCAAAATATTGTCATGTCATTGCAGCTGCACCATCAGAACATACATCTATAACAGACTTACTTGATGACAACATCTTTTTTTTTTTTTTTTTGAGACAGAGTTTCACTCTGTCTCCCAGGCTGGAGTACAGTGGCGTGATCTCAGCTCATTGCAAGCTCTGCCTCCCAGGTTCACGCCATTCTCCTGCCTCAGCCTCCCAAGTAGCTGGGACTACAGGAGCCCACCACCACAACTGGCTAATTTTTTGTATTTTTAGTAGAGACAGGGTTTCACCGTGTTAGACAAGATGGTCTCGATCTCCTGACCTCGTGATCCACCTGCCTCGGCCTCCCATAGTGCTGGGATTACAGGCTCGCCTGGCCTGTTGACAACGTAATTCTTAATAGTTTTATACAAAACAGAGCTAGTTGTGTATCTAGGCAATGAAACTAAAGAAAAAAAATGTCCTTCATATTACTATCATGTTCAAGGTATACATATAATTAGTTATATTAGCAATGTCTGTTCATTACTTAAGTTGTAATGAAAAACATTTTGCTAGCTTAACGTGTGCCATGACATGGCTTCCGTATCATTGCAAAATTATTTATATGTTCATCTCTGGTGGCACTGGAACATGGCACTTCTTGCCCTGGAATACTCACTCCCAACATTTTTAAGAAAATAATATTGGTACACACTTTCAGTAATATCTGAAAAGCCTAAAGTTCTATTTTAAAAGTAGCCAGCAAAACCACAATGTAAAATATTGAATATCTGCTTTTGTCTACTTTTTAGTTCAATTTCTGCCAAATAATTTAGATTTTACATTGTGTCTTTATGTTTTTGTAAGTAAGCTCTACTTGAGTGGTTATTTCTGTATTAATTAGTTTGTCTCTTAGAATAAAATGTGGTGGGTTTAATATTTAACAATTAAATATTACTGCAAAATCATATTTAACATTAGGGAAACTAGTAAAGGCTCTTGGTCTTTATGTGGAAAGACATTTATCATATGTTTTGTTACTACTGTCCTTTTCAGAAAAAAATATGTTTTTTCAGAATTTTAGTAATATTTCCTTTGCCACTGGTAAATTAGAAATATAAACAAAGCAAATTATTTTAAAATAAAGAATCATATTATCCTTTTAAAAATGTTGTTTGGGAAATGGCGCAATATTAAGAGAGAACAATCTTACCCAGTATGGGTAGAAATAGACGTACATCCCAAGGTCCCTGGCAAATCCCCTTAGATTCATATTTTAATCCTGCTATTGCTGCAGTATCCAACTCCACGCAGGCTTCAACCAGTTTCACACAGCTGCCTTTTAGCATTGCCTTTTCTCAAAATACTGCACACTTCTCATTTCCCACTTAACCACAGGAAGTACAGGAGAGTTATCACCCTGTAGATCAATGCCTAGCCAAAAGGTGTGGGGGAATTAGAGATAAATGAGTACTCCTTTTTTTCAGGGCAGAAGGTCCGGAGCTATGTCTTTGTTTTAGTCCCTTTGTGCTGCTATAACAGAATACCTGAAAGTGGGTAACTTATAAAAATCAGAAATTTATTTTCTCACAGTTTTGGAGGCTGGGAAGTCCAATGCTATGGTGCCAGTAGGTTCGGTTGTCTGGCAAGGGCTGCTCTCCATTTCCAAGATGGAAATTTGATGTTGCATCCTCTACAGGGGAAGAATGCTGTGTCCTTACATGGTGGAAGGCAGAGAGTAGGTAGAGAAGGATGCTGCATGAAGCCTCTTTTATAAAGGCCTTAATCCCATTCATGAAGGAGGACCCCTCGTGACCTCATCACCTCTTAAAAATCCCACCTCTTGCAGATCACGAGGTCAGGAGATACAGACCATCCTGGCTAACAGGGTGAAACCCCATCTCTACTAAAAATACAAAAAATTAGCCGGGCGTGGTGGCAGGCGCCTGTAGTCCCAGCTACTGGGGAGGCTGAGGCAGGAGAATGGCGTGAACCCAGGAGGCGGAGCTTGCAGTGAGCCGAGATTCTGCCACTGCACTCTAGCCTGGGCGACAGAGCGAGACTCCATCTCAAAAAACAAACAAACAAACAAACAAAATCCCACCTCTTATTACTGTCACATTGGAAACACTTCAAATTTTAAGGAGACACATTGAAATCATAGCACTCTTTAATAAGACTTCTCTAAAGGTCCTGTAGAACCCAGCAATCAGTTTTTTCAAAACTGGCTACTGCTCTCCCTCCTTCCCAATATTCTACTCAGTTCCTCATTCCTGGTCCCCTGGATTATGTTCCCAAGTAAATTATTTGCACAAAAACCTTTGTCTCATGCTGTGATATTAGGTAATCCAGCCTAAGAGAGCCACTATCACTGTCCAGGAATAAAAACGTATGGATTCTCCCTTATCTAGTCTATTATTCTTTGTTCATCGGCTTTGTTCTGGGTATTTTAAGAAATTCAAATACAAGATTAAATTCAACTCTAAACGTTTGAAAATACCATTCTCACAGTTCCCAGAAAGTAATATTTTCCCCTCTCACACAAATTATAAGAAACAAAAAATATGTTTTTCTTCTGCATGCTTACACTAAAAAAAACAAAAGAAATTCTTACTTTTCTCATCTACTGTCATCGGACTTTCTACATTTCCAATATATGTTCTAATTTGGCAATCTAAAGAGAAAGTGAGGCTATACAATACATCTAAAAAGATCACAAAATGGCCCCAGCACACCTTCTTTAAAATGTTTTTCATATTGAAAGCAAGACATAACTTTAGCTATAAGTCATAAATTTATAACCAATGGATATTTGCCATTTATTCAACAAATATTTATGGAATACCCACTACATTCTAAATATTGTTCTTATTGCTGAGAAATATTAAAGAGCCAAAAAATGTCCTATATTCACAGAGACTAAATTCTAACTAGAGAGACAAACAATAAACCTGAAAAATAACAACTACAAACAAAATTATCCAAAAGATAAATAAGATGAGGCAGGGAGCAGTGGCTCACGTCTGTAATCCCAAAACTTTGGGAGGCCGAGGAGGGTGGATCACAAGGTCAGGAGACCGAGACCATCCTGACTAACACGCTGAAACCCTGTCTCTACTAAAAGTACAAAAGAAATTAGCCGGGCATGGTGGCGGGCGCCTGTAGTCCCAGCTACTCAGGAGGCTGAGGCAGGAGAATGGCATGAATCTGGGAGGCGGAGCTAGCAGTGAGCCGAGATTGCACCACTGCACTCCAGCCTGGACGACAGAGCAAGACGCCGTCTCAAAAAAAAAAAAAAAAAAAAGGCAAATAAGATGAATGCTTAGGGGAAAAAAAGCAGAGAAAGAAGATATGAGATTGTTAACATGGTGGTGAGGGGTGGAGTAAGGAAAATAAAAAATTAAGTTGGCAAGAAAATCCTCACTAAGAAGGTAAGACATTTAGGTAAAAAGTCAAAGTACATATATATATATATATATATGCGGCAGCCGGCTGTGCAGTCAGTTTGGGAAAGAGTGCTTCAGACAGAAGGAAAAGGTCACACAGGAAATGTTCCACAAGGATGCCTGATGTGGTGCAGGAGTAGCAAGGGTGTGAGCGTAACTGGGATGGAGTGAATCCAAGCAGAGGGAGGTAATAGCAGCACAGTGATGGGCAGTGAACATTGGGTACAGAGTCACAGATTGCAGCTGAACTTCTGCTTCCATTCTGAAATAAGAAACCAGTAGTTGATTTTGAGCCAAGGGAAAATATGACCTGATTTCTCTTTTAACAGAATTACTCTAATTATTTGAATAAGAATAGACTAAAAGTGGGATGACAATGGGAGAAGGTAGACTATTCAGGAAGCTATTGCAATAAGCCAGGCAGAGAATCATTGTGTCTTGAACAGATAACAGTATATATGGAAGAAAGTGTTTGAATTTTGAATAGAATCTCAAAGTAAACCAAGACGATTTGCTCAATAATTGGTATTTTAATAGGATAAAGAAAAGTCAAGAAGGCAAGGGTAGTGCCAAAGTTTCTATCCTGAAGAACTAGAAGAAAATACTGAGCACCTACTGGGAAATACTTCACTTTGGGGGGCCATGAGATAGGAAAAATTATAAGCTTAGTTTTGGAAATCTATTTTCCAAACATAGCAACAGATGTCTTTAGAGTATCTGTTAGACACCCCAGAGAACATGTCAAGAAGGCTGGTGGCTATATGTCTATATAAAGAGTAACTTCAAAAATGTTTTAGGAAAATTTGTTTAGTGATTTTAGCTATTAATACATACAAACCTCATATTGCCTTGTGTTCATCTTCTAAGTGCTTGAGTATTCATAAATTTTATTAAATGTATTACTCTTGGCAGAAGGAAAAATCAAACTGAGAAAGGTTATTCTTGCACTGTCATCTATCCTAGGACCAGCTTGAATCCACATTTTCATTTTACTTTTTTTTTGAAATGTAGTCTCACTCTATTGCCCAGGCTGGAGAGTAGTGGCACAATCAATCTCGGCTCACTGCAACCTCTGTCTCCTGGGTTCAGGCGATTCTCCTGCCTCAGCCTACCAAGTAGCTGGGATTACAGGCAAGCGCCACCACCCCTGGCTAATTTTTGTATTTTTAGTAGAGATGGGGTTTCACCACATTGGCCAGGCTATTCTCGAACCCCTAAACTCAAGTGATCCGCCAGCCTTGGCCTCCCAGAGTGCTGGGAATACAGGCATGAGCCATGGTGCCCAGCCGCCATTTTTTTAAACAAACTCATTTTACCCCCTTATTTCATGATTTTCACATGATATATGACTTCCTCTGACTTACAACTTTTTTTAAATACTTGTATAATTTCTTTAGAACGAGAAGATTAATGTTTTTAGCTTTGGTAAATTTTTAAAACTTTGTTTCAAAAATACATAAGACCTATTTAAGTTTAATCTTATTTATCTTCAGTAAAAACAATTAAAAACATTGACAGTTCTCTTTTGCCATATCAAACACTTAAAAAAATAAAAAACATTAATAAAGTAGTTAGAGTTAATGAATGTCAAACAAATTCTTTCTTCACTTACATGAAGTTGCAAAATTTCTGGAAATCATTTTCATAAAATAGTTGGCAAAATGTTCTAAGGCAGTAACAATGTAAGAAATCCATGATAGATTGAGTGAAACTACCAAATGATAGGCAGAGAAACTTATGTCACTATATTATCCTTTTTGGGTTTACTTGTGTTTTATCGATTTTTAATATTGACAAATATTGTATTTTTTTTCATCTGGTCTGCAGTACAATTAAGTATTCTCAGCTAATATTTACAAGTCAAGAAGGTCTCTAACACTAGAGAAACTGAAGAGGTATATAACTAATCTCAAATAGTCCTAAAGAATGATTTCACTTTTTGAAAAAGAATGTTGGTATACCTGAATTAGCCAACGTTCAGAAATTGAAAATTTTATGTTACAGAATTAAAAGCTCAGTGTGAAGTGTCTAAGTCTAGCTATTTGAGCAAGCAGGCAAGGATCTGCTCTCAGTTTCCAAATGCCTACAGAATAAATATGTGGCTTAAGAATGCCAAGAAAAAGACCTGCTTATTTCATCCTTTGGAAAATTCAACAATAAAAACAAGGAAATTCTAGCACTGAGTTCTCTGTAGAAATTTTTGACAAAATCTATCACTTTGAACAAATGGGTCAGTAACCATCAAGAATAGAAGAATTCCAAAGTATCACTGGGTCTTCCAAAAAAAAAAGCTAGAAACAGATATCTAAAAAAAAAAAAACTTATGAAAAATATACAACGAAGTAAAACACCATAACTCCTGTGCCTTCTTTATACAAATATACACACACACAATAAATAACTTACATTTCTGTGCTTAGCAACGGAGCGTTTGCACTTTTGAAGGAGACATCAACACCTATGACATGTAGGTATTTGTGATGAAAATACACTTTCTACATTTCATAGTAGTTATGAGAAAATAAAACAATACATGTCAAGCATGATTTTAAATTGCATATGCTATTTGCTGCCCCCTAAGCAGGCAGAATCAAGTAGCTTGGCAGTGAGTCAGGGGCCACCCAGTATTTGTATCTCAATAAGAACTGCTCAGACTCCCTTCTCAACGTCAAGGGTCTATTGTCCTTGTACTCACAAACAGAAATATTTTCAGCAGAACCATCTCTGCAAAGACACAAGAAATATCTATACAGAACTGAAGAATTCAAAACTGCCAGTATTCTCAATTAACAAACTATCACCTCAAAAAGGTCATTCCTGCAGTATTTCTCACCAGGTTTGGAGCTACTGAGATTAAATCTTTGAAACCTGGCCACAACGAATGACAGATTCTGATTGCAAAGCCTGTTGCATAACCCAGGGTGGAAAAAAAAATTATTTTTTTGTGCTTCCTCACTCTCTACTTTAGGTCATACTTTGCCTACACTCTAATCCTTCCAATTAAAAATTAAAGTGTATGGCATCTAAATATCCCCTAGAGTATTTATTTGCATAACATTCATGTATCTTTTAATTTTCATACAACTGACAGCTAGTAGATTGGAGTGAAACAATTATTTCAAATAATGCCAGCACAACACTTTTCTATCCCCATGGAGAGCACTTGTGTCAATTAACAAGAAAATTCCATCATAGGAGAAAATGATGATTCTTCTGGTGCCAAATGTAGGCCAAGTGTAGGCAGGAACCATCCCTAGGGTATGAAGAATTTAAATAATTGCCTCGTGTATCTGGCTTTGTGACTCTCATAGAATGAGCTGTTTTACAGAACAGACACTGTGGTGGAAGAAGACGGAAAAGAAATCTGCTGAGTATTATCCTACTAACCACGTTTAATGGTGTCAGAGTGTAGACAGGATTAGAAAGTCTAAATCCTGTTCTTGCTATTAGTTGCCCCTGAGAGAGATTAAGTGTGGACAAAATTATTACTAACCAGAGTCTTGATCCAAATTTCAGGATAAGGTCTTGGTGAACATGCCATGAATGAACATCTGTTACATTTCTAGCTAAAAGTCGAAACGAAAATCAACCCAGAGAACTTACGTAGTCATTGTTTTCTCCAGGCTCCATACCCGTAAGTGCTAAATGCTAAAACTTTAGAAGAAATGTTGGAAAGATACATAACTGTTGTTATATTTATTTTACAATTGTCAATATTGCAATCTTTCATTAAAATAAGATACAAAAAGAAATCTTTGAACATGGGCTGAGATTGTACATGTGATCAATATCTACAGATTAAATAAAGCATAACTTTTATGCCCAAGTTGACATCATGCTACACCCTAAACTAATGCCTACCACCTAATATTGATCTTTGGTGCTTTAACATAGTAAAGGCAAAACAGATAAAGAAAGATGGCGTATATAATTACCGTTTATTTGCTGAGGATTCCAACTGCTGACTCATAAATTCAGTTGCCTAGTCAACCTCTCCCCTTGGATATCTAATAGACATCCCTGCCTCAAAATACCGACAACTAAGATTCTAATATGCCCAACATAGAATGAGCTCAATTCAGCTCATTTCACATTCTTCCCAATTTCAGTTAAGAGTATCTGAATCTTTCCCATTTCTTAGGCAAAAATATTAAAGAAATACTTGACTACAGTTTTTCTTCTATACTCCACGTCAAAGTCATCAACACATCCTATCTGATCTATGGCCAAAATATATCTACATCTGATCTCTTCTCACCACTTGTACTAGTATCACACTTGTCTAAGTCACAATCATCTGCCATAAAATTTACTTCCTTCTTACTGGTCTCTTTCCTTCTATTGTTTCAGCCTATTCTGAACACAGAAATGAGGCATTAAAATACGTCACGACTGGCCCCAAAATTTCCCAAAGTCTTTGATTTTGGATAGGAGAAGTGGCATTCTTTAATATACTCACTAGGGTTGTGATGGATAATTTTACCTGTCAGCTTGAAAGGGTCAGGGGCTCCCCTGATATTTTGTCAAGCATTATTCTGGGTGTTTGTATAAGAATGCTTTCGGGTGAGTTCAACATTTAAATCTATAGACTGAGTAAAACCGATTGCTTTTTCTAATGTGGGTGAGTCTCATCCAATCCCAGGACAACCTGAATAGAATATAAAACTAACCGTTCCCCAAATAAAAGGCAACTCCTTCTGCCTGTCTTCAAACTGAGACATGAGACTTTTTCTTCCTTCCAACTCAAAGTGAAACACAGGCTCTTCTTGAGTCTTGAGCCTGATGATCTTTGGATTAAACTATACCATCAGCTCTCCTGGGTTTCCAGCTTCCCAGCTGCAGATATTAGGACTTCCTGGCATCTGAAATCATGAGAGCCAATCCCTTATAATAAATCTCTGTCGCTAACTCACTTGCTATATATTTTATTTATCTAGTTTATTTCCTCTCTCCGCTCACTAGAATGTAACCTATTCCTTTACGTGGGTAGCCGTAAGCAGTGTAAAATGAACAGACATGGTTTTCTTCAATCAGGAATAGTAAATATATGTTTGTAGAGAAAAAAGAATGAGAGAATGATTAATTGGATGATAAATAGAAGGAAGGTATATAGGAGATAAAACAAAGAGGAAAATAGGTAAATTTAAAAGTAAATTTTAAACAAAGTAAACATAAAATTATTTATACTTTCCAAACAATGAAATACTTCAAACATTTATATCTACCATCATTACCTTTTTTCAAAATCATATGTCCTACTTTCCTAAGTACTTTTTCAATATGTGATGACAACATAAAAATTTCTGAATGTAAAATCACATACACATAATCAAAGATGATGTTAGAATGTTAGAATCGTACACTGATTCTTTTGTTTCCAAATGCCTGAAGAAAGTGTATACTTTTTTCTCTGAATGGGAATATTCAATCTAGATTATCTGTCCCAAATTATCTTATGAATGATACCAGGTATTTTATTTTTATAAACTTATGCTACCAAAAATTAACTTATTTGCTATTCTAATTGTCAATGTTCCTTTCTAAGATAGACACTGAAAATGCCAACTTCATTTTAAATTTCAAACTGATTTTATAAAAAAAAAAACCTTTATTAATGGACTCATGATTTAATGAGTTTTTTAACAACAAAGAATAAATCACACTTTCTACTTCACACATATGCAAATTGAATTCTATGTTAAAAGTTCATTACATCAGAAATATAATTAAACTGAGGTTTGAAGCACAGTCTTTATTTTTCTGTCTAAAATAATGATTAAGAGGTTTCCATGGAAATAATTCTGTACTTTAATATCCAGTGTAAATAGCTATTGATTCAGGCATCTGTTGAGATTCAGAAGAAAGTTAGCAAAATGGCTCAAGTATAATTGGATTATATGTAGAGCCATTTCTTTTATCTTTTGATTCAGACAGGATCCAAATATGATCCTTTATGATTACCAATTATTTCAAAGATAACTAGGAATTGATATTTTTTCATATATGGAGACCATGCAATGCCAGAAATCCCATTTGACTAAGCCATTAAAATGTAAGGAATTACTTACTGAAGTTTTCTCATTACTAAAATAAACATGGCTCAGAATTGCAGCTTTAGGACCTAGACAGGTGCAAAATTTTCCAAAAGCATTTTTTTCCTCAGAACCAAAAATATAAGTATTTTATTTTAAAAGAATTGCTGAAGACTACATTAAATACCTAAATTTGTCATGGCCCTTCACCAGTGAGCAGTAATTTACAGCTGTTAACAGAAGTTGTTTTTTAGTTCTGAACATTTATTGTTTAAAGAAGGGATTTATTTATCTCATTTTGATATTTGTGAAACTACTATATTTCCTTCATTTTACACTTTCCTTGCCTTCTTGAAATATATAAAAGCAAGAAAAAATGTGGATTGTTAGATATTTACAGTCTTCTGCCACCCCAAAATTCACACGCACACTGATATAGTCTGGCTCTATGTCCCCACCCAAATCTCATCTTGAATTGTACTCCCATAATTCCCATATGTTGTGGGAAGGACCTGGTGGGAGAGCATTCAAATCATGGTGACAGTTTCCCCCACACTGTTCTCATGATAGTGAATAAGTCTCATGAGATTTGATGGTTTTATCAGGGTTTCCACTTTTGTATCCTCATTTTCTCTTACCACTGTCAGATAAGAAGTGCCTTTCAACTCCTGCCATGATTCTGAGGCCTCCCCCAGCCATGTGGAACTGTAAATCCAATTAAACCTCTTTTTCTTCTCAGTCTTGGGTATGTCTTTATCAGCAGCATGAAAATGGACTAATACAGTAAATTGGTACCAGAAGTGGGATGTTGCTGAAAAGATACCTGAAAATGTGGACGCAACTTTGGAACTGGGTAACAGGCAGAGGTTGGAAGAGTTTGGAGGGCTCAGAAGACAGAAAAATGTGGGAAAGTTTCAAACTTCCTAGAGACTTGTTCAGTGGCTTTGACCAAAATGCTGATAGTGATATGGACAGTAAGGTCCAGGATGAGGTGGTCTCAAATGAAGATGAGGAACTTGTTGGGAACTGGAGGAAAGATGACTGTTATTATGTTTTAGCAAAGAGACTGGTGGCATTTTGCCCCTGCCATGAGGATTTGTAGAACTTTCAACTTGAGAAAGATGATTTAGGGTATCTGGTTGAAGAAATTTCTAAGCAGTGGCCAGGCACGGTGGCTCATGCCTGTAATCCCAGGACTTTGGGAGGCTAAGGCAGGCAGATCATGAGGTCAGGAGATCACAACCATCCTGGCTAACATGGTGAAACCCCGTCTCTACTAAAAAAATACAAAAAAAAAATAGCTGGGCATGGTGGCGGGTGCCTGTAGTCCTGGCTACTTGGGAGGCTGAGGCAGGAGAATGGCGTGAACCCAGGAGGTGGAGCTTACAGTGAGCGGAGATCGAGCCACTGCACTCTAGCCTGGGCAACTAAGCGAGACTGTATCTCTGAAAAAAAAAAAAAAAAAAAAAGAAATTTCTAAGCAGCAGCAAAGCATTCAAGAGGTGACTTGGCGGCTGTTAAAGGCATTCAGTTTTATAGTGGAAGCAGAGCATAAAAGTTTAGAAAATTTGCAGCCTAACAATGTGATAGAAAAGAAAACCCCATTTTCTGAGGCAAAATTCAAGCTGACTGCAAAAATTTGCAGAAGTAACCAGGAGCCAAATGTTAATCCCCAAGACAATAGGGAAAATATCTCCGGGGCATGTTAGAGGTCTTCACAGCAGCCCCTCCTATCACAAACCCAGAGGCCAAGGAGAAAGTTGTTTCATGGGCTGAGCCCAGGGTCCCCATGCTGTATGCAGCCTAGGGAATTGGTGCCCTGCATCCCAGCTGCTCCAGCCATGGCTGAAAGGGGTCAACGTACAGCTTGGGCCATGGCTTCAGAGGGTGCAGGCCCCAAGCCTTGGCAGCTTCCACATTGGGTTGAGGCTGTGAGTGCATAGAAGTCAAGAACTGGGGTTTGGGAACCTCCACCTAGATTTCAGAATCTGTATAGAAACCCCTGGATGCCCAGGCAGAAGACTGCTGCAGGAGGCAAGTGCTCATGGACAACCTCTGCTAGGGCAGTGCAGAACGAAAATGTAGGGTCGGAGCCCTCATACAGAGTGCCTACTGGGGCACCACCTAGTAGAGCTGTGAGAAGAGTGCCACCATCCTCCAGACTCCAGAATGGTAGATCCACTGACAGCTTGCATGGTTATGCCTGGAGAAGCCACAGACACTCAACACCAGCCCATGAAAGCAGCCAGCAGGGAGGCTGTACCCTGCAAAGCCACAGGGGTGGAGCTGCCCAAGACCATGGGAACCCACCTCTTGCATTGGTGTGACCTGGATGTGAGACCTAGAGTCAAAGGAGATCATTATGGAGCTTTAAAATTTGATGGCCCAGCTGGACTTCAGACTTACATGGGCCCTGTCACCCATTTGTGTTGGCCAATTTCTCCCATGTGGAATGGCTGTATTTACCTAATACCTGCACCCCCACTGTATCTAGGAAGTAATTAGTTTGCTTTTGATTTACAGGCTCATAGGTGGAAGGGGCTTGTCTTGTCTTAGATGAGGCTTTGGACTGTGGACTTTTGGGTAAATGAAAATGAGTTAGGACTTTGGGGGACTGTTAGGAAGGCATGACTGGTTTTGAAATGTGAGGACATGAGATTTGTAGGGTTCGGGGGCAGAATGATATGGTTTGGCTCTCTGTCCCCACCCAAATCTCATCTTGAATTATACTCCCATAATTCCCATGTGTTGTGGGAGGGACCCAGTGGGAGATAATTTGAATCATGGGGACTGTTTCCCCCATACTGTTCTCATGGTAGTGAACAAGTCTCACAAGATCTGATGGTTTTATCAGGGGTTTCTGCTTTTGTATCTTCCTCACTTTCTCTTGCCACTGCCATGTAAGAAGTGCCTTTCACCTCCTGCCATGATTCTGAGGCCTCCCCAACCATGTGAAACTCTAAGTCCAATTAAACCTCTTTTTCTTCCCAGTCTCGGATATGTCTTTATCAGCAGTGTGAAAATAGACTAATACATACACACAGACACACAAGTATTTCTGCAGTATAAGTTCTGCTGAGTAAGCCATGGTTGGAACTTCCATTTGGAGAAATTAAACTGAGCTACCAAAGAAAGGAATAGAAAAAAAAAAAATGGAAAGGAATCCATGACTTACCTGAAAATATATGATCACTTTTTGTGTCATAGGCATTTTTGATGTCTTCTCAACCCCTAGATTTCCCCCCACTACACACACACACACACACACACACACACACACACACACACACACACGGAGCAAAGAGACTGGGCCACGCTGCAGAAAGCTCAAAGATGCAGCTAATAATAAAAATGAATTACTCTACATAACTGAATGTAATGTAAACCTGGATATAATGCAATATCCCCCCAATAACCAGTGAAAATACTTAATATTTTATTGATTGACATGTTTGTTACAATACCTTTTTGAAAAGTATAAGACAAATTATATATTTAAAATAATTAATTTCATTATATAAAATATACAAAAGTATATGTCATATACAGTAGGAGGGTAGTTTACAAATATTGCCATTTTAAACAATTTTATTTCATAAATTTATTGAAACACTCCTTGTACTTTTTCAACATTAGCACATGGGTCATTACTGGGTCTACTTTTTCAGTAACGTAGGTTTTTAAAACATACCATTTTTACTTTCATTAAAGTTGTATGAAATTTTGCATATTACTTTGGGAGGCCGAGGCGGGCGGATCAGGAGGTCAGGAGATAAAGACCATCCTGGCTAACACGGTGAAACCCCATCTCTACTAAAAATACAAAAAATTAGCCGGGTGTCGTGGCGGGCGCCTGTAGTCCCAGCTACTCAGGAGGCTGGGGCAAGATAATGGCATTCACCTGGGAGGTGGAGCTTGCAGTGGGCCGAGATCGCGCCACGGCACACTGCGCTCCAGCCTGGGCGACAGAGCAAGACTCCCTCCCCCACCCAAAAAAAAAGAAGTTTTGCATATTACATGTTTCCATCACCTGAACTTTTATTCCAAGCCACAAGTACACATGGTAGAATAGGTATATCTTTTTCTTATCATGTGAGGTTACACTTGTGAGTTCTACAATGCAACCACTTTATTGTTATTTATAAGGGATCTTTAAAATACTTAAAATTTCTGTCTATTCTTGCAATTGTGAGATCAATCACAGGGTCACAGGGAATAATCACTAAATGCGACATAAATTTATTTACTTATTTATTTATTTATTTATTTATTTTTTGAGACGGAGTCTCGCTCTGTCCCCCAGGCTGGAGTGCAGTGGCACAATCTCGGTGCGCTGCAAGCTCTGCCTCCCGGGTTCACGCCATTCTCCTGCCTCAGCCTCCCGAGTAGCTGGGACTATAGGCGCCTGACACTATGCCTGGCTAATTTTTTTGTATTTTTTTTTTTTAGTAGAGATGGGGTTTCACCGTGTTAGCCAGGATGGTCTCCATCTCCTGACCTCGTGATATGCCTGCCTCGGCCTCCCAAAGTGCTGGGATTACAGGCTTGAGCCACCGCCCCCGGCCAATTTATTTCCTTTTTTTTCAATGTTGTTACCTTGATTGTGTCAGGTGGCTTTCTGACACATTGATTGAAGTAATTTCCCATAAATAGATTTTTCCGAAACAAAACTTTGTTATTCAAAAATAAAACAACTGAAAGGTCACTGGTTTCTGTCAGAAACTTATAAAAGATGTCCTGAAGGTAAAAAGGGGACAAGGTTATAGGACAAGAAATGTTATAGTATGGCCTATATGCTGCTTTCTTAGAATTTCCTAAATACCAGATCCTTCATCTCTACCTCAAAGTAAACTACACCTTTGTAATAAGAAGAAAAGTTGTACAGTAAGGAGGGTATTTGATACGGTTTGGCTGTGTCTCCACCCAAATCTCATCTTCACTTGTAGTTTCCTTAATCCCCATGTTTTTTGGGAGTGAGCTGATGGGAGATAATTGAATCATGGGGGCAATTACCTCCATGCTGTTCCTGTGATAGTGAGTGAGTTCTCACAAGATCTGATGGTTTTATAAGGGGCTTTTCCCTATATCCACTGTACACTTCTCCTTGCTGCCTCCATGTGAAGAAGAATGTGTTTGCTACCCCTTCCACCATTATCGTACGTTTCCTGAGGCTTCTCCAGCCATGCTGAACTGTGAGTGAATTAAACCTCTTTCTGTTATAAATTACCCAGTCTTGAGCAGTTCTTTATAGTGGCATGAGACTGGACTAATACAGTATTCTAACCAAAAAAAAAAGTTCTAGTAGATGGTTTTGTTTTTAATGGGCCTATTCTGGGGCAAGTTAATACATCTTATTTTGTTTTGTCTTGTTTAAAAATGTAAAGAACCTCAAACAGAAACAAAATTTTAACTGTTTTCTATTCAGTTCTGCCTCTCTCTCCACAGCCAGGAAGCAGAGCTGAGTTTCTTCTATATTGTCTTTAAAGATTAATAACATGTTGTGAGTTTTACATTTAGCTAAAAAAATGTGGCTCCATTTATCTTTGGCCTTCTACCACCCAAAACAATTAAGATTTATCTAGGACATTTGCAATAATAAAATTAAAACTAAACTCAATCAATTTGAAGTCAATACTACAAATGCTTACTGATTTTAAGTGTTTGTCTTGACTTTAAATGGCAATTTAATCAAATGGGTTTTCTTAGCATTTCCTAACTATAGGAAAAATTTGCTTTCTTTTTTCATGAAGGCATCTGAAAGAGAAAACCCAGCATATATAACTAACAACCCAATGAGATGTGATAAGGAAAATAAACAAAACAAAATAAAAACGTATTCAGTGTTTCTCATTTTAAAAAGCTTTCAAAAACATACTCCTCAGAGAAAAGTGATTACAGCAAAGTATTTGTGTTCACAAAAATATGAATTGCCTAGAAAGGCAGAAATCACTGTTTCTGTTCCTCTGATTTTATATCCTTATTGATCAGAATGCTGTAATTTTCATAGCACTGGAGGGGAAAAGACAAGTAAGAGTGCAATTATTTAGAATAGAGGTTTGGGAGCAATTTTTATAATCAATAACCCAACCCTAGAAGGAATAGAAAGTAGTATTTAAAATGGTATTCACAGGAGATTCAGTAATACTGATTTGATTCTGTTTGAGCACATTTTATAAATTACTCTTCTCATTGAATCTTATTTGTATAATTATTTTTTATTTTAAAATCTTACTTTGCAGCGGTTACCGAGAAAAAGCCCTCCAAAGTTAGAATACCTTCCTTTATATTTAAAAAATAAAGTCAGCCTGTGTTTCATGTAGTAAGGTATTATGATTTGTTTTTAAACTTGTGAACTTGTGTTCTGTGCTCAGGAAAGAGAAAATGATTAAAAATAGGTGGCTTTTGACAATATACAAGTAGGCGTAAGTCTTAACTTTAAAAAAAAATCGAGCCGGGCGCAGTGGCTCACGCCTGTAATCCCAGCACTTTGGGAGGCCGAGGCGGGCGGATCACGAGGTCAGGAGATCGAGACCATCCTGGCTAACACGGTGAAACCCTACTAAAAATACAAAAAATTAGTTGGGCGTGGTGGCAGGTGCCTGTAGTCCCAGCTACCTGGGAGGCTGAGGCAGGAGAATGGCGTGAACCCAGGAAGCGGAGTTTGCAGTGAGCCGAGATGGCGCCATTGCACTCCAGCCTGGGTGACAGAGCAAGACTCCGTCCCAAAAAAAAAAAAGAAAAAATCAACCTCACATTTTTTTAACTTTATGTGTTGTTAATACAAAAGAAACAAATAAAAATTGATTTTTTTTTTCTTAGGGTGCCCTGTCTATGATGTCCCAGGCATAAGGAGAACTAAGTTGTTCCCTTTCCACCTAGTCTTTTTGAGTGAGATTATTAGTTTTCTTTAGTAAATGGACAAACCCATCAGGAGAACAAACTTGAATAATGAAAAAGAATAAAATAATTTATATGTTTAATCATACAATTGCCAGACCTCCAAATGAAAAAAAAAAAAATCTATCAGTATTATCTTTTTACTCTCTTTCAACTGAGATTCCCTCCCTCCTTCCCAAGTGTATAAATTTGGTTTCTTTTCTGTGGTTTTCTTTTTAAAATATATAATGCATTTTATAGTTTTATTTTCTTCTTTGCAGATGTTCAGCATCATCAGGATTATTTATTGGATCACTAATAACTGTGTTAATTGGAGAAATCAAATGACATTTTTCTTCCTCAGCAAGAAAACCTGAAACAGGTGAAAGAAGTAAAGGTGGAAAAGCAAAGATTCCAATAGGTAAATGTTTGTGGAAAGGCTATTTGTGGCTTCCCTGGTTTCCCTTTGGTACAACCTTTTAGGATTTATCTCCAGTGTAAAGAATGTATATTTCTTTTACCATAAGAAAAGCTCTCTGGTTGTCATGAATTTCTATACTGTTCCTTTTTCAGAATAAATTCCCTTGAATTGAGTTGTGGAAGAGATAGTCAAATATGACAGCCACTCTTCTAAAGAAAAGTAAAATATCATTCCAGTGAAAAAAAAGTAAATTTTGATTGTGAAATTTAGTGAAAAGAGACCAGGGCTTAAGTGACCAAAGATGAAAGTTTTAGTCCCAATTTGTGACCTTAAAATTTGTATAATCTTGACCAAGCACGGTGGATCATGCCTGTAATTCCAGCACTTTGGGAGGCCAAGGCAGGTAGATCATGAGGTCAACAGATTGAGACCATCCTGGCCAACATGGTGAAACGCCATCTCTACTAAAAATAGAAAAATTAGCCAGGTGTGGTGGTGGGCACCTGTAGTCCCAGCTGCTCAGGATGCTGAAGCAGGAGAATCACTTAAACCCAGATGGCACAGGTTGCAATGAGCCAAGATTGCGCCACTGCATTCCAGCCTGGAGACAGAGTGAGACTCTGTCTCAAAAAAAAAAAAATTCTATTATCTCTCATCTAAAAATTGAGTATTGAAGTAACTATGACAAAGGATGTCCCAATGATTAAGGATTAAGTGAAATAATTACTGTAAAAATGCCCTGAAAACTCTACTGTTAATGTACATCATTGTCATTCTCATCCCTCTACTAAGGTTAGTTGCATGAGGTTAATCCAGATATTTTCTACCCTCTTACATTTATAAGCCTATATGTATATGCAGAGCCTAATTTAACAGGATTACCTAGGCCAATTATTAAATAATATCAAGAAATATTTTAGAAAATCACCCTTTCATTTAAATTAATAATATTACATGCTCTTATACAAACTCTTTTCTTTGTAAGTCTCTTTTTTCTAATATGCTGCTTAGTATCTGTTAGTTATAAAATTACCTTTGAAAAAGTATTCTTAACAAATTATCCTCAGTGTAGTGATTTACTTTCAGTAACTTAATTTCTGGCTTTGGGTTTTGTAAGCAGGGAGAATTATAACTGCTACTTCCGGATCTCCAAACATGCATTTTCTTTGGATTTACTAACAATGCTCCTAAACTCTGCTCCACAGATGTCTGTCTTCACTGACCCCATTTCTCCTGCACTAAGATGGAGTGGTGCCAAATAGGACAATAGTTTTGCCTGAGAAGATATTATGGCCTCAGGGGAGTGAACTGAGATACATCCTCCATTCCCCAGTTGAGGACCATGGCAGCCATCTGTTAAAAGCAGGTAATGAATAATGAAGTCTATCCTGTGAGGCAGGGATTATTGATTAGATTTTTCTCTCAATGAGGCACTATCCATCCCTAGTTATCTTCTAATCTTAATTCATTTTCTTCAGTGTGAACTAAGTCAAAATCTAAAAAAAAAAAAAAAAAAAGAAAGAAAAAAAATACCCTAACATGATGCTGTTATAAACTTGGTCTAATATTCAGGCTCGTTTAACAGTGAAAAATAACAGAAATTCTAGTACCGTAGCCTAAACATTGATATTATGGTCTGAAACGTATGTTTGGAGACAAAAGAAAACAAAACTATTGGCTTCTCTAGAATATTGACTATAATATTTCTAAATAACTTTTTATTTTTTCTCAAATGAAGCTGGTCCTTATACTTTTATAGTCCTGAAAGTGTTAAGCAAATACAGAACGATTACCTATAATTTAGATAGGTTTTCCATAGCAGTCACTCAGAAGATACATTTTCTTTTGCAGTACATTATAAATTTTTAAGCATCTAACTAGGAAGCATCAATTTACTTAAATTATAAAACGGCCGTGGACCACATAAATAATACAAATGGAAGTAGGTTAGAAATGCCCAAGGATTAAATGTAAGTTTTTGAAAAATATATTTTAGTGAGAAGAATAATAAATTATGATGTAAACATAAGTTTCTGTCAATTAATACTTCCCACATTTAGTTTCTGAGTAAAAGATGTAATAGCTCACATTTATGAAACACTTACTATGCAAGTTTTTCACAAGCATTCAATATTCACAACATTTCTCTATCCAAATTCCTAAAAGAGTCTGAAACATATTGTTATAGTAAACATTTTTGAGTGAAAGCAACATTATGAGCTGGGTATTAATAACAACTTTAATTCATAGATAAAAAAATTAGAATAATATTAAGGAATTAGCACCAAGTCACGCAAGTGACATTAGTGAAAACCTGGATTTGAATGCAGTTCTATTTGCCTCCAAAATTATCTTACTTAACCTACTATCCAATGTCACCTTGTAGTAACTCACTGGATATTTACCATATATTACCCACACAAAAGATTCATGTCATACTTTCCTGAGAAAGCCACTGAGTAAACAGCCAACTAATAGTCAAATAACTATACTGTGGTTTTGCAAATTATTTTTATGCCAATTTTTTTAGTCATGTACAAAATAAATAACATTAATTCTGATTCTTAAAGTTCTGAGTAAGAATATTTTTTCTCTGAAAATATAGAGCACAATGAAAGCAAATGAATAGAATAAAATGACGCTGATTAGTTTTCTTTCAATTAAAACAAACTTGTTCAAATATTGAATGGAAAATCAATTTGTAAAATCTCTGTTGTAATAAATAAAATATATATCAGTAACAAGTAAAATATTTCCATAAGTTATCATGCCTAAGTTGCTTTAATAAAATAGTGCTAGGCATATTCATTCCTTACAATTGATGCTTAAAACATCTGTTTTGAAAAATACAAAAACCTTTGCAGAAAGCCTTTTATAAGTCAAAGCATGCAACACTGTAATGATTCATGGTTTTAGGCTTTATCTAAAGTCTATTTTAGTTTTCTTTCCTTGGTAAGTTTTTCTAGGAGCATCAAGAGATATAAAAACTAGCCAAAGATAACCATAAGATCCTTTTATCAATGGGACATCTGAGTAGAATAAGATCACCTAAAGTTTCCCTTCTATTGGCTTATCTTGACCTCTTTAAATAAAATCTTTTTTTTTTTTTCAAAATATTTTCTACAAGCGTTCTTTTCCACAGGCAAGCATGCCAAAGGAAGAGAGAAGTAAGGGTGTTTAAAAAGAAGAGTTAATCTATTCATTCAGCACATTTTTGAGTGCTTTCTTTAGGCCAAGCATTCCTCTGGGCTCTGGAGATTGATCAGTGAACAAAACAAAAATGAGAGCTGATATTCCAGGAGGCATGAGAGGGAAGGAGTCAGAGAAAAAACATAAATAGGCCAGAAATTGATGAGTACTGTAGAGGAAAATAAAGTACATGTTACGGACTGGATGTTTCTGTTCTCTGAGAGTCACGTTTAATTCCTAACTTCTAGTATGTCTTTTTTATGGAGATGGGGGCTCTAAGCAAAGAACTAAGGTCAAATGAGGTCAGAAAGGTAGGGCTCTGATTCTATAGGTTGAGTGAGACGTCTTATAATAAGAGACAACAGAGAGCATGCTCTCTCTCTCTCGGCCAGCAGGCACTAAGGAAAGGCTATGTGAAGAGAGCCAGAAAGAGAGCCTTTGTCACAAATCAAATCAGAAAGAACCTTAATCTTAGACTTCCCAGACTCCAGAACTGTGAGAAAATACAACCCAGTCTGTTGTCTTTTGGTATGGCAGCCAGAAGAGACTAACAGAGCAGGGTAGAGAGAATTGTGCCTTTGGGAAGAAAGTGCCAGTTTAAAGATAGGTCTCATTGTACTAGTGAACTTTTAGCCAAAACCCGAAAGAGGCATGCAAGAAACTTTAGAGGCTGTCTGGAAGAGTAACAGACCAAGTACAGGGAACATCAAGTGCAAATGCCCCGAGGAGCAAGTCTGTGTAGAGAAATCGGAAACAGAAAAAAACAAAAACAAAAACAGTATGGCCAGAGAGGAGAATAGTACAATAACATCCAGGAAGCAACCATACATCAGATCATGTAAAACTCTGTAGGCTGTAGATAGGACTGAAATTTGTTGAGAGTGAGAAGGAAACAATTAGAAGGTATTTCTTAATTAAAACACACACAGGTGGCTATGTGTAGAACTGGCTTTGGGAGAGGATAACAAAAGAATGGAAAGTCATTTTAGAGGCCATTAAAATAACTCAGGTATAAAATGAGGCAGTATTGGAATAGGACTATGGCAAAGGAGGTGGTGAGAAGGTAGTAATATTTTAGAAATATTTTGAAAATAAAATTGAAAGCATATCCTAAATAGAATTCACAGGAAATGTGAGAGAAAGACAAGAGCCTAGGAGGACCCCTAGGATAACAATCAAGATCATAGAATCAAAAATGGTTTAAAATAGGAGAGAGATGAGAGGATGGTACCATATCATGACTGTGAAAAAAAAAAAAAAAAGCAAAAAAGTCTCACAAAATTTAGGTACTAATAATTGTTTGGGGGTCTCATAAAAGTAAACAATTTTTGTAGTTTGGACGCTAGAAAAAGTAAGCCAGGGCCAGGCACGGTGGCTCATGCCTGTAATCCCAGCACTTTGGGAGGCCGAAGTGGGCAGATCACGAGGTCAGGAAATCGAGACCACCCTGGCCAAAATGGTGAAACCCTATCCCTACTAAAAATAAAAAAGAATTAGCTGGGCATAGTGGCGCAGGCCTGTAATCCCAGCTACTCGGGAGGCTGAGGGAGGAGAATCGCTTGAACCAGGGAGTCGGAGGTTGCAGTGAGCCGAAATCGCGCCACTGCACTCCAACCTAGCGATAGAGTGAGACTCCGTCTCAAAGAAAAAAAAAAAAAGAAATAAAGAAAAAGTAAGGCAGAGGAATAAGAAGTAGTGGTTTGCAGCTAAGATTTTGAAAGATGAACGTTCCATGTTATATCACAGCCTAGGGGTGATTAAGTGGGTAGTTAAAGTAGTATGAGTAAAGATCGTAAGAGGTTACAAAGCTGAAATATTAAGAAGTCAGTGTATTATAGGTAATGAATATAAATATGTTCAATACATTAAATTTATAGGAGAAATGCCAGAATTTTATGCAGAGTTCCCCCTCCACAGGAGAGGGCTTCAGCTTCAGGAAGATGGTGTGTTTGGTAAATAGCAAGGTTTCATTTAAGAAATAGAGATTTTTTTTAAACACAAAGAAAAAGAACTCTTAAAAGATTTCTCATGGGCAAGGAACAGGGTTTGGAAAAATCATTGTGGCAGAGAGGTGCAGTGTGTGGGGCTGAATCAAAGTAGCACATGGCCTAGACAGAGCGATATGAGCATGAAATTCTCCATGGTATTATATAGCCTAGAAGGACTGAGCTTCTGTAAGTGACTAAGGTGCAGCAATATAAGTCATGAAAATTTCCTTATTTCTTGGAAAGAAGGAGGTGGACAACTATTTTAAACAAGAGTCCTGAATATTTAAGCCCAATGGTATAGAAGCCTCATAGTAATTTGTATTTGTGAGCAATGTCAGCTAAGAAATGGAGCTTGGACCTGTCAAAGAATAACTCAGAACTATTCAGTCGTTAAAGAATAACTCAGCCGGGTAAGGTGGGTCACACTTGTAATTCTAGCACTTTGGAAGGCCAAGGTGGGCAGATCACTTGAGCCTAGGAGCTCAAGACCAGTCTGGGCGACATGGTGAAACTGTATCTTTACAAAAAATACAAAAATTAGCCAAGCATGGTGGCAAGCATCTGTAGTCCCAGCTACTCCAAAAGCTGAAGTGGGAGGATCACTTCAGCCCAGGAAGTTGAGACTCCAATGAGCAATGATCATGCCACTGCACCCCTGCCTGGTGACAGAGTGAGACCCCATCTCAACAACAAAAAAAATAACTTAGATATATTCGTCAGATATATTATTTGAACATTTCAGAAAGTTTATATCCATACGTGGGAAATTGCATTTGAACTATTTTCTTCTTTTTTCTTTTTTTTTTTTTTTTTTGAGACAGAGTCTTGCTCTGTCACCCAGCCTGGAGTGCGAAGGTGAGATCTCAGCTCACTGCAATCTCCGCCTCCTGTGTTCAAGTGATTCTCCTGCCTTAGCCTCCTGAGTAGCTGGGACTACAGGTGTGTGCCACCATGCCCAGCTAATCTAATGCTGCCACTGATCTGACAGGGGGTGGAGCTCAGGAGATAATGCAAACGATGAGGAGCGGCTATAAACATAGATGAAGCTTTGCTCGCTTACCTACCACACACCTCCTGCTACACAGCCCAGTTCCTCCCAGGGGTTGGGAACCACTGCTGTAACAGATTTGGGCAAAGTAATCGAAATCCTTCTGGAAAGGATTACCACTTTCCAGGTGTTGTCATTATACTACAGCCTGAAAGAGTAAAAACAAAATCTAACAACTCTCTTCCTTTTGGGTACTTGCTTATATTTACTCCACCCAAATAAAGGTTGAGCTGTTCTTGGCCAGGTGCTGTGGCTCACGCCTGTAATTCCAGCACTTTGGGAGGCCAAGGCAGGTGGATTACTTGAGGTCAGGAGTTCGAGACCGGCGTGGCCAACATGGTGAAACCTTGTCTCTACCAAAATTATAAAAAGTTAGCCGAATGTGGTGGCTGACAACTGTAATCCCAGCTACTAGAGAGGCTGAGAAAGGAGAATCGCCTGAACCCAGGAGGCAGAGGTTGCAGTGAGCCAAAATTGGGCCACTGCACTCCAGCCTGTGTGACAGAGCAAGACTCCATCTCAAAAAAAAAAAAAAAAAAAAAATTGAGTTGTTTCTCTACTTTAAGATAAAGGAGCAGATTGTTCTTGAATAATTTGTATCACTGAGGACAAGACTCCAGGGCAAAGTTCACTCTCTTAAGGGGGTGATTTAAGATACAGTGAGTCCTTTCACACTCTAAATCTCTATACCTTCCTTTTTAGATCATTTAGAGGTCTCAAGATTATCACTTTTCTACCACAGCCAGATGTGCTAGGTTAGCTATACACAATCACAATAATGAAGACATTCATTTAATTTTTATTTTGAAACTCATAGCAGGAGTTCTAGTGTTATTTGAAATAGAAATGCAAATTTAAACAGATATTTTACTTGATATTTTTTATATGAAGAAAAAAAAAAGGAGAGACAAAAACGGGACCATAGAAATTGCTCTGTGTTACTGCCCATATTTTTTTATTAGAAAATGCAGGTGTAGAACTCAGCCTTTCTTAGCTCCTTGTCACAGTGAGTTTTTTCTCCTGTCACACCTACTGAGTCAGTGGTGGATGAGACAGAGTAGTGCTATTAAAGAAATCAGCCAGCAGAAACAGTGTCCCCAGCAAAGACCTTTGATAAAAACTCACTTTGGTGCTAATGTTTGGCTCTGCAAGGACTATAGGCTCACTTTCAGCCTTAGAATCAAAGGATATAACCCTGGCATTTTTTTTTTCATTTTATCTTCATTTTAGCAGACATTTGTTCACTATTAACCAGGTAACAGGCTTGTCAGCTTTACAATTTAATTCTAAAGATGGAACCAATAGAGAATAGAAAAAAAATCCTATATGCATATTTCATTTTATTGTGCTTTCCTTTATCGTGCTTTGCAGATATTGTGTTTTCTAAAAATTGAAAGAATGTGAAATCACTATGTTAAGCAAGTTTATCAGCAAAAGTTTTCCAACAGCATGTGTTCACTTTGTGTCTCTGTGTCACAATATTTCAAACGTTTTCATTAGTATTTTGTCTGTCATGGTGATCTGAGATCAGTGACATTTGATGTTACTATTGTCATTGTTTTGGAATGCCACAAATTGTGACCACAGACTTCATCAATAAATGTTTATGTTCTGACAGCTCCACTGACTGGCCACTCTCTCTCATTCTTTTCAGGCTTCCCTATTCCCTGAAATAAAACAATATTGATTTTTCAAAAATATTGAAATTGGCCTGATTAATAATGCTACAATGTCCTCTAAGTGTTGAAGTGAAAGGACACCTACCATTTTTAAAAGAAAAGCTAGACATGATTAAGGCTCACGAGGAAGGCAAGTCAAGAGCCGAGACAGACCAAAAGCTAGCTCTCCTGCACCCATTAGATAAGTTGTCTGAATAGGAGATCAACCTAGCCACGACATTTTCTTAAGCCAAAACATAATCCAGAGCAAGATTCTAGCTCTCTTTAACTCTGTGAAGGCTGAGAGAGGTGAGGAAGCTGCAGGAAAAAAGTTCGAAGCTAGTAGAGGTTGGTTCATGATATTTAAGAAAAGAAGCCATTTACATACATAAAAGTGCAAGGTGAAGCAGCAGGTGCTGAGGTAAAAGCTGCAGCAAGTTATCCAGAAAATCTAGCTGAGATCATTGATAAAGCTTGTTCCATGACACAACAGATTTCAGATGTACACAAAATAGCCTTCTATTGAAGCATGTCATCTAAGACTTTTATAGATAAGGAGGAGAAGTCAATGTCTGGCTTAAAATATTGGAAGGAAAGGCTGACTCTCTTGTTAGAGGCTTATGTAGCTGGTGACATTCAGTTAAAGCTGGGACTCACTCACCATTTCCAAAATCTTAGGGCACTTTAGAATTCTGCTAAACCTACTCTGCCTGGGCTCTATTAAAAAAACAACGAAGACTGTATGATGACAAATCTGTTTATAGCATGGCTTATAGAATATTTTTACACCACTATTGAGACCTACTGCTCAGAAAAAAAGATTCTTTTCAAAATTTTACTGCTCATTGACAATGCACATAGTCACTGAACAGCTCTGATAGAGATGAACAAAGAGATTAATGTTGTTTTCATGCCTGCTAACACAACATCCATTCTGCAGCCCATGGATCAGAGTCATTTTTACTTTCAAATATTATTTAAGTAAATACACTTCATAAGGCCATAGCTCCCATAAATAATGATTCCACTACACAGCAGTCCTTAACCTTTTTGGCACCAGAGACTAGTTTCATGGAAGACAATTTTTCCATGGACAAGGGGGGAGGGATGGTTATGAGATGATTCAAGCACATTACATTCATTTATTGTGCACTTTATTTCTATTATCATTATTATAATGAAATAAATACAAAACTCACCATAATGTAGACTCAGTAGGAACCCTGAGCTTGTTTTCCCACAATTAGATGTTCCTATCTGGGGGTGATGAGAGACAGTGACAGATCATCAGGCATTAGATTCTCATAAGGAGAATGCAACCTAGTTCCCTCACATGAACAGTTCACAACAGGGCTCATGCACCTAGGATAATCTAATGCTGCCACTGATCAGACAGGAGGTGGAGCTCAGGAGATAATGCAAACAATGAGGAGCGGCTATAAACACAGATAAAGTTTTGCTCACTTACCTACCACACACCTCCTGCTGCACAGCTCAGTTCCTCCCAGGAGTTGGGAACCACTGCTGTAACAGATCTGGGCAAAGTCATTGAAATCCTTCTGGAAAGGATTACCATTCTAAATGTCATTAAGAACTTTTGTGATGCATGAAAAGAAGTAAAAATACCAACATTAACAGGAGTTCAGAAGAAGTTTTTTTTGACCTTCATGGATGACTTTGAGGAGTTCAAGACATTGGTGGAGGAAGTCACTGCAGGTGTGGTGGAAACAGCTAGAGAACCAGATTTAGAAGTGAAGGCTAAAGATGTGACTGAATTGTGGCAATCTCATGATAAAATTTGAACAGATGAGGAATTCCTTGCTAGGGATGAGCAAAGGAAGTGGTTTCTTGGGATGAAATCTACTCCTGGTGAAGATGCTGTGAACATTGTTGAAATGACATCTAAGGCTTTAGAATATTATATAAACTTAGTTGATAAGGCAGCAGCAGCAGCGTGTGAAAAGATTGACTTTAATTTTGAAAGAAGTTCTTCTGTGGGTAAAATGCTGTAAAAGGGCATCACATGCTACAGAGAAATCTTTTGTAAAAGGATAGTCAATTGATGTGGCAAATTTCATTGTTGTCTTATTTTCAGAAATTGCCACAGCCACCCCAATCTTCAACAAATACCACCCCACTCAATCAACAGCCATCAACATCAAGGCAAAACCATCCACCAACAAAATTTACAACCCACTGAAGACTGGGATAATTGTTAAGATATTTTAGCAACAAAGTATATTTAAATTAAGGTATATAGTTTGGTTTTTTACACACAAAGCTATCTCACGCTTAATAGAGTGCAATGTAGTATAAACATAACTTTTATATGTGCTAGGAAGCCAAAAAACTTGTGTGATTTTCTTTATTGAGATATTTGTTTTATTTCAACTGACTGGTACTGAAACAGCAATATCTCTAATGTATGCCTGCACATTTCCCTGAGTACTTCTCAACTTGCCAACCTAAATTTAAATTTCTGTTAAATGACTATAATACAGCTAAATTAATAGGTTTCTCACTTGCTAAAAGTTGACTCTAAATTTAATGCTGGAAAATCAAAACCTTGGTGCATTGGTGGTTCCTATTATTTATGAGAAGCTAAGAGTGAATTAATATAAACTATAACATATTCCTTGTAGGAAGGCTGTTAATCATGACCATGGTTCCCTTCTGTTGGTGGTGGGGGGTGGGTAAGGAGGTTTTTCAGAAGCAAGGCATATTTTTGTTATCCATATTTTGCAGAGAGCTCATTTGAATCATAGGCCTCATAGCACATGGCAGGAAGGCAAGTTATCAGGAACAAAGGATAAAATAGGCTTCAGGAATTTCTTAGCATCTTGAGACACTTTTAGAACCTTCTGTTTATGACGCCAGCTCTTTCTAGTATAAAACCAGATTGCTGCAATACAGTTCTTCCATATAATATCAAGAGAGAAATGAATTACTCAACATGGATCCAACAGACAAGAAAAAACACTGAATATGTCAGATCAGTAACTATATCCTTGAAAATAGGTAACTTTATTTATATATAATTACAATATTTGTATATTCAATGTGAGAAAATTAGACTACATGATTTCTAATGCCCTATTTTTAACTAACTATGATTCTATGATTTTACTTAAAAAATGTATTAAATGACCCAGGATTTTATAAAAGAGTGAATTTTTATATGTTTCACTAAATATAAGATTCTACTGTTTGTCAAATATGTCAATATTTTATTAATGATTAAGGAATTATAAATGCTGTCACATAAACCATAATATTTTATCACTTAGGCTTTTAAATTTAAACTTTTAAAATAAATCTTCTGTTATATATTCCTCTCGTATGAACATAAAAAGAAAATTAGAAACAGAAAAAAAAGAATATGGTTTTCCTGAAAAATTATCTCATTCGAGGTCTTACTCTTCTAATTTTTTTGAATTGACAGAAAAAAGTACATACTTAAACTGTACAAAATATTATTTTGAAGTACATATACATTTATAATAAGTAAATCTTGCTAATTCACATATAGATTTCTGCCATAGTTATTATCTTTGTGGTGAGATCACTTCACATCCACAGTCTCAGCATTTTTTAGCATAGTATATTGTTAAGTATAGTCACCATGTTGTACACTAGATTTCTTTAACTTATTCCTCTTATTTAATTAAAATTTTGTATCCTTTGACCAACATCTTCCTAACCCCCCTACTACCAAATACCCCATTCCCTGGTAACCACTATTTTACTTTCTACTTCTATGAGATCAACTTTTTTAGATTCCACTTATGAGTGAGATCATGTTGTATTTGTCTTTCTGTGCCTGGCTTGTTTCACTTATAATGCCCTCCAGGTTCATCCATGTTGTCACTGACGACAGGGTTTCCTTCCATTTTTATGCTGGAATAGTATTCCATTGTGTATATGTACCACATTTTCTTTATCCATTCATCCATTGATAGATACTTAGGTTGAGTCTGTATCTTGGCTATGGTGAATAATGATTCAGTAAACAGGGGAGTGCAGATGTCTCTTTGACTTACTGATTTTATCTTCTCTGGATATATATCTAGGAGTGGAATTGTGGGATTACATGGTAGTTCTATTTTTAATTAATTGAGGAAACTTCATACTGTTTTCTCTAATGGCTATAATACTTGCATTCCCACCAGCAGTGTGTGAGAGTTCCCTTTTCTCTACCTGTTTGCCAATATTTGTTATCTATTGTCTTTTTGATAAAAACCATTTTTAACAGGTGTGAGATGTCTCATTGTGGTTTAATTTATATTTCCCTTATGATTAGTGATAAGCCATGATTTTTACCTGTTGATGATTTGCATGTCTTCTTTTGAGAAATGCCTATTCAGATCCTTTGCTCATTTTTAAATTCAATTATTTGTTTTTTGTTAAGTTCCTTGTATATTTTAAATATTAACCTCTTATCAGATGTACAGTTTGCAAACATTTTCTCCTATTCTCTAGGTTGTCTCTTCACTCTTTTTATTAGTTTTGTTTACTGTGCAGAAGCTTTTTAGTTTGATGTAATCTTGTATGACTATTTTTGCGTATGTTGCCTGTGCTTTTTGGGTCATATACAAATGCATTACCTAGACCAATGTCACACAGCTTTTCACCTTTTTTTTAGTAGTTTCATAAATTGGGGTCTTACATATGTTTTTAATCCATTTCAAGTTGATTTTTGTCTATGATATGAGTAAGGGCCTAATGTCATTCTTTTGCATGTGGATATCCAGTATTCCCAACACCATTCATTGAAGAGGGTACTCTTTCCCTACTGTATGTTCTTGGTACCTTTGTCAAATATCAGTTGGCTGTAAATGCTTGGATTTATTTCTGGGCTCTCTATTCTGCTCTCTTGGTCTATGTGTCTGTTCTTATGCCAATGCCATGATGTTTTGGTTACTATAGCTTTGTAGCATATTTTGAAGGCACATAGTGTGATTTCCTCCAGCTTTGTTCTTTTTGCTCAAGATTGCTTTGGCCATTCAGGATCTTTTTGGAGGTCCATAAGATATTAGAATTTCTTTTCTAGTTCTGTGAAGAATGTCATTGGTATTCTGAAAGAGATGATGTTGAGTCAGATCACTTTGGGCAGTATGGATATTTTAACAATCTTAATTTTCCCATTCCATGTACCCAAGATATATTTCCATTTATTTGTGTCTTCTTCAGGTACTTCCATCAATAATTTTATAGTTTTCCATGTAGAGATCTTTCATCTCTTTAAATTTATTCATAAGCATTTATTTTTTAACAATTATAAATGAGATTATCTTTTTAATTTCTTTTTCAGATTGCTTGCTGTCAATGTATAGAAATGTCACTAATTAAAAAAAATTTTTTTTTTCTTCAGAGGTGAGGTATTGCTAAACTGCCCAGGTTGGTCTTGAACTCCTAGCCTCAAATGATTCCCTGAACCTCAGCTTCCCAAGTGCTGGGATTACAGGTGTGCGCCATTGTGCCCAGCCTCACTACTAATTTTTTATGCTAATTTTATATCCCGCAACTTTACTAAATTAGTTTAGTAGTTCTAACATTTTTAGGTGTTTTTATATATAAAACTTTTTAGGGTTTTATATATAAAATCATGTCATCTGCAAACACAGTCATTTTAATTTCTTCTTTTCCAATCAAGACACCTTTTATTTATTTTTTTCTAATTGCTATGGCTGTGGCCTCCAGTACAATATTGAACAGAAGTGGCAAGAATGGGTTACCTTGTCTTGTCCTAGATCTTGGAGAAAAACCTTTCAAATTTTCACCATTGGATATAATATTGGTTTTGGGTTTATAATATATGGCCTTTATTTCATTGCAGTACATTCCTTGTATACCTAATTTTGTGAGTGTTTTTATCACAAAAGAATGTTGAACTTCATTAAATCATTTTTGTGCCTCTATTGAAATGGTCATATTGTTTTTGTCCTTCATGATTGTTAATGGGTTTTAACACATGTACTGATTTATATTTATTGAGTCATCCTTGCATCCCTGTGATAGATAATCTTTTCATCATGCTATTGAATTTGGTTTACCAGTATTTTGCTAAGGATTTATGCTTCTATGTTCTTCAGGGATACTGGCCTGCAATTTTCTTTTTTTGTAGTGTCTGTTTGGCTTTGGTATCAGGATGCTGGCTTTGTAAAAGTTGTTTGGAGGTATTCTTTCCTCTTTAATTTTTTGGAAGAGTTCGAGAAGAATTGGTATTAGATCTTGTTTAAATGTTTGATAGAATTTAGTATGAAGCTATTAAGTCCTGAGCTTTTCTTTGATGGAAGACTTTTTAATAATGATTTAATCTACTTATTCATGATTGGTCTGTTAGCATTTTCTATTTCTTCATAATTTAGCCTTGGCTGGCTTTGTGTCTCAAGGAATTTCATTTTTTCTTGGTTGTCCAATTTGTTGATGCATAATTATTTGTAGTAGTCTCTTATGATCCTTTGTATTTCTGTAGCATCAGTTGTTAAGGTCTCCTCTTTCATTTCTGATTTTTTTTTAATATTCTTTTCTAATCTAGTTAAAGTTTTGCTGATTTTGTTTACCTTTTGAAAAGCAATTCCGTTTTGTGGATCTTTTCTATGTTCTTTCTGTACTTTGTTTTGTTTATCTCTGCTTTGATATTTAATATTTCCTACCTTTTACTAACTTTGAGATACTTTATTATTGTTTTCTTAGTTTTTTTCAGGTGAAACATTAGGTTATTTGAAATTTTTCTCATTTTCTGATGAAAGCATTTATTGCTATGAACATCCCTCTTAGAGCTGCTTTTGCTGTATTTCATAGGGTTTGGTATATTGTTTGTCCATTTTTGTTAGTTTCAAGACATTTTTAAATATACTTTCAAGTTGTTTTATTAACCCATTGGTTGTTTAGGAGCATGTTGTTTAATTTCCATGTATTTGTAAATATTCTGAAGTTTCTCCCGTTATTGATTTCAAGTTACATCATTGTGGTCAGAAAGATGCTTGATATAATTTCAGTCTTCTTAAATGTGTTAAGACTTGTTTTGTGGCCTAACATATGCTCCATATTGGAAAATGTTCCATGTGTAATTGAAAAGAGTAAGCATTCTGTAACTGTTGGATAGAATGCTCTGCATATGCCTGTTAGGTCCATTTAATTTAGTGTAGTTTAAGTCCATTGTTTCTTTATTGATTTTCTGTCTGTATGATCTGTCCACTGCTAATACTTGGATGTTGATATCTCCTATTATTGTGTTGCAGTCTATATCTCCCTTCAGATATTGTTATATTTGCTTTCTATCTTTATGTGCTCCAATATAGGTGCATATTTATTTACAATTATTATGTTCTCTTGATGACTTGACTCCTTTATCATTATATAATGACTTTTGCTGTCTCTTTTTTCATAATTTTTATCTTAAAGTCTATTTCATCCGATGTAAGTACACTCCTGCTTTCTTTTGGCTTCCATTTGCATGGACTATGTTTTTTGATTTTTTTACTTTCAATCTATGTGTGTCCCTTTCAGGTGAAATGAGTCTCTTATAGGCAGCATATAATTGGGTATTTTTGCTTTTTTAAATCCATTCAGACATTTATGTCTTCTGATTGGATATTAATCCATTTAAATTCAAGGACTTACTGCTATCATTTTGTTAACTGTTTTCTGGTTGTTTTAGAGATCTTTTGTTCCTTTCTTTTTCTCTCGCTTGTCTTCCTTTGTGGCTGTTATTCTCTTGAATAGTATGTGTTGACTCCTTGATTTTTATTTTTTATCTACTCTATTTTTTTGCTTTGCAGTTACCATGATGCCTACAAAAAAAATCTTGTAGTCATAACAGATTATTTTTAGCTAATAAAAAATTTTATCACCCAAAAAAAAGAAAATAACTACTCTTTTACTCTATCCACTCTGTATATTGATTTTTCTATGTCATGATTTATATCTCATATATTGCATATCACTTTTAACAAATTATTATAGTTATCATTATATCTGGTAGTTTTGTCTTTTAACCTTTATACTAAAGATGTAAGTAATTTACACAATGCCATCACAGTAATAGAGTATTCTGAATTTGACTGTGTACTTACTTTTACCAGTGAGTTTTATATTTTCAGAGGTTTTGTGTTACTCATTAGTAACTCTTTAAGTTTAAAGAACTCCCTTTAGCATTTCTTGTAAGATAAGTCTGGTTGTGATGAACTTTATCAGCTTTTGTTTGTCTAGGAAAGTCTTCCACCTTCTTGTTTTTTTTTGAGACAAAGTTTCACTCTGTCACCCTGGCTGGAGTGCAGTGGCGCGATTTCAGCTCACTGCAACCTCTGCCTCCTGGGTTCAAGCAATTCTCCTGCCTCAGCCTCCCAAGTGGCTGGGACTACAGGCACATACCACCACACCCGGCTATTTTTGGATTTTTATTAGAGTTTCACTGTGTTAGCCAGGATGGTCTTGATCTCCTGACCTCGTGATCCACCCACCTCGGGCTCCCAAAGTGCTGGGATTGCAAGTGTGAGCCACCGTGCCCAGCCCTCACCTTCATTTTTAAAAAACAACTTTTCCGGTTACAGTGTTCTTGGTTTAAAATGTTTTTCCTTCAGCACTTTGACTATATCATCCCACTGTCACCTGTCTTGTAAGGCTTCTGCTGAAAGTCTGCTGCTAGTTTTATTGGAACTCACTTATACGACATCTGCTTCTTTTCTTTGCTGCTTTCACGATCTTCTCTGTCTTTGATTTTTGACCATTTAATATATTTCTCAGGGTAATCTTATTTGGATTGAATCTGATTGGAGACCTTTGACCTTCCTGTGCCTGGATATTTACATCTTCCTCCAGGATTGGAAAGTTTCCTGCTACAATTTCTTTAATAGCTTTTTACTCCTTTATCTTTCTTTTCTCCTTCTTTAACTTCTGTGACTCCTGTGACTTTGATATTGTCCCAAAAATCCTATAAGTTTTACAACTTCTTTTATCTTGTTGTTTTTCTTTTTTCTCCTTCATGTATTTTCAAATAACCTGTCTGAATTGATAGCTTTTTTATACTTGATCAAGTCTGTTGTTGATATTGTATTTTTAAATTTTATTTTTTTATTTGGGGGTTTTTCATCTTCAGGATTTCTGTTGAATTTTTAAAATTATTTCAATTCCTATTAAATTTCTTGTTCTTGACACATTGTTTTTCTCATTTCATTGAATTATTTTTCTGTATTTTCTTGAAGTTTATTGAGCTTCTTTAAAACAGTTACTATAAATTCTTTGTCAAGCAATTAATACAGCTATAATCCTTTAGGGTCAGTCACTGGCACTTTCTTTTGTTTATTTGGTGGTGTTATGTTTCTTTGTTTGTTCTTGACCTTTGTAGTGGTGTGTCAATATCTGTTCATTGGAAGAAATATTAATAGATACTTATTACAGTCTTTGCAGACTAGTTTTGTCTGAGAAAGCAATGCAGCAGCCACAGTCCTGGGGCAGGCCAGAATCCTGAGGCAGCTGTAGCTACCATGCAACTGGCAGAAACTCAGGGCTTGCTGTAAGATGTGCAGTGCCAAGGCATGCCAGAAGCCTGATTACCTGAGAACCACGCTAACTTTCAGAAGCTGGACTAATACCTACGGATGCTATCTTTTGCCTTTTAAATAATTTTGTTTTAAAAACGAATTAGCTTTGCTTTATATGTTTATCAGTTCTTTGGGTGGGGTAAAATGGAGCTTACCTAGGCTTTTAAATTGTAGTGAAGGCTATTTTTAAAAATAAAGTTTTGAATATTTGAAAAACATTTAAAAACGTGACATACCAGAAGCACATGACCACTGAGGATCATCTGCTGCTGATAATTGTCTGGAAACTAGGGCTGCTGAAGTTGGCCCAGTGGTTGTGCTGTTCAGAGATCAAGACTGAAAGTCCTGTACTCACATTTATCTTTCTCCCAAGCAGACGGTATCTCTTCCAGGACTACATTTTGGAGCATTGGTATAGGGTGAGTGTGGGTAAGGTAGAACTGCCCTTCCTATCCCATTCAATACGTCTTCCTACCCTGTTCAATGTTACATCCTGGTATTGTGATCTTTCACCTGCTTTAATTAGCTTTTAGGAAGGTGTTTTCATGTGTGAATAGTTATTCAAATTGATATTTCTATGGGTGAGATGATGGCTGGAGAGTCCTACCCCACTACCTTGCTCTGCCCCTCTGGGATCTACACTTGAATCAGTTTTCAACTCAGAACTGTTGTGGTTCATCTTTTACAAATGGTAACCTCTTTTGTGCTAAGAAAAGATTTATTAATGTGGCATTTCTTAAAAGAGTGCTCCAGTCTTTATCTCTTAGAAGTCTTCTCAAGCCATTGATGTACATACTGTAACTTTTAGTACAGATGCTTTCAACAGAAAGTTTTGAGACAAGAACCAGGACATCTATTCCTTCTTCAAATGGCCCATCAATGGTTTGTAAAGTGAATAGTCAAGTGATTACAGTTATACTGTCATGCAATCTGCAAAAACAATTTTACACAGTGCTTGACTTGACAGCTATGATGTGAAAGCCACCTTATAGAAAGTGACTGTATGACATAATCAGTTGTAAGATACATATGATTTATAAAATATTAAAATGTGTGGGAAGGCACCTTGGAACAATGAAATATAATATATAATACAATAAGTATTAGTTTCAGGGGATGTGTGGTCAAGATGGCCAACTAGAAGCAGCTAGGGTATGTGACTGTCAGGGGGAGAAAGAAAACAGGCAAGTAAATATAGCACCTTCAACTGAAACATCCAGGTATCCACACTGGGACTAATCAAGGAAACAACTTGACCCATGGAGAATGGAGGAAACCAAAAGGCAAAACAACGGCTCACCCGGGAGCAACATGGACCTAAGAGAACTTCCCCAACCCAGGGAAGCAAGGAGTAAATGTGTGACCTAGAAACTACACTCCTCCCAAGGATCTTTGCAATCCTCAGTTTAGGAGATACCTGCATGAACCCACTGTGTGTCAGACTTTAGTCTGACACACAGAGCTATGTAGATCAGCAGAGCAGCCACTAAGGCATGCATGGAGACCCAGGAGCTTTACATACTCTAGCTCTGGGCTTCCCGGCAAAAGTAACTGCAACTCTGGCAAAGTGGGAGGTTGGCGCTCTTTACATACCCCTAAGAAAGAGAATGAATCTATGGGGCTGAGCAGCAATAATCTGCAGGCCCCACTTCTACAACATCTCACCAGATAAAACCCACTGGCTTGGAATTCCAGCCAGGTACTCACAATAATGATGTGCCTAGCTGGAATGGAGTTTCCGGGGGGAGAGGTAGGCCACCATCTTTGTGGTTTGGGCAACTTAGCCATTCTAGCTTCCAGGCTTTGGAGAGCCCAAGCTGACCAGTGGTGGAAGCAGTACTCCTGCACAGCAACAGGTGCTCCACAAAAGCATGGCCAGACTGATTCTTTAAGTGGATCATAATCCCATTCCTCCTGACTGGATGAGACCTCCCAACCAGGATCTCCAGCCACCTCCTATAGATGTGTTGAGCCCAGCAACAGGCCCATAGCCCCATGGAATAAAGATCCCAAAGAGGCAGGCTGGCATATTTGCTGTTTCACAGCCTTCACTGGTGATACCTCCAGGTACTGAAAAATCTGAGGTGACAAAAGACCGGAGCAGACCCCCAGCAAACCTCAGCAACCCTATGGAATAGTGACAAGTCTGTTAAAAGGAAAAAAAAATCCAAAGGTCAGCAACCTCAAAGACTGAAGGTAGATAAGCCCACAAAGATGAGAAAGCATCAGCACAAGAATGCTGAAAACTGGCCAGGCACAGTGGCTCAAGCCTGTAATCCCAGCACTTTGGGAGGCCGAGGTGGGCAGATCACGGGGTCAGGAGATCGAGACCATCCTGGCTAACATGGTGAAACCCCATCTCTACTAAAAATACAGAAAAAAATTAGCCATGCATGGTGGCAGGCACCTGTAGTCCCAGCTACTGGGGAGGCTGAGGCAGGAGAATGGCATGAACCCAGGAGGCAGAGCTTGCAGTGAGCTGAGATCATGCCACTGCACTCCAGCCTGGGTGACAGAGCGAGACTCTGTCTCAAAAAAAAAAAAAAAAAAGAAAAAAAAATGTTGAAAACTTAAAAAGCCAGAGTACCCTCTTTCCTCCAAATGATCACGTCACCTCCCCAGCAGGGGTTCAGAACTGTGCTGAGGCTGAGATGGCTGAAATGACAGAAGTGGAATTCAGAATATGGATAGGAACAAAGCTCACTGAGCTAAAGGAGCACATTCTAACCCAATGCAAGGAAGCTAAAAATCATGATAAAACATTGCAGGAGCTGACAGACAAAATAGTCAGTATAGAGAAGAACACAGCAAACTTGATAGAGTTGAAAAACCAATTCAAAAGTTTCATAATGCAATCACAAGTATTAGTAGGAGCATAGAACAAGTGGAGGAAAGAATCCCAGAGCTTAAAGACTGAGAAATAAGACAGGCAAACAAGAATAGAGATAAAAGAAAAACAAGGATGAATATAACCTTCAAGAAATATGAGATTATGCAAAAAGCTTGAATCTATGACTGATTGGTACACCTGAAAGAGATGGGGAGGATGGAACCAATTTGGAAAACATATTTCAGGATATCATCCATGAGAACCAGGTAGGTGGGCCAACATTCAAGTTCAGGAAATGCAGAGAACACCAGTAAGATATTATATGAATAGATCATCCTCAAGATGCAGATTTTCCAAAGTTGAAATGACAAAAAAAAAATGTTAAGAGCAGCTACAGAGAAATGCCAGGTCACCTAAAAATGGAAGCTCATTAGACTAACAGTGGACCTCTCAGTGGAAACCCTACAAGCCAGAAGAGATTGGGGGCCAATAGTCAACATTCTTAAAGAAAAGAATTTCCAACCCAGAATTTCCTACCTGGCCAAATTAAGCTTCATAAGCAAAGAAGAAATTAGATCCTTTTCAGAGAAGTGAATGCTAAGGGAATTCATTACCACCAGACCTGCCTTACAAGAGCTCCTGAAGGAAGCACTAAATGTGGAAAGGAAAGACTGTTCCCAACTACTACAAAAATACATTGAAGTACACAAACCAGTAATCCTATAAAGCAACCACATAAACAGGTCTACAAAATAACCAGCTAAGATCAAGACAGGATCAAATTCAAACAACCAATAATAACCTTAAATGTAAATGGGCTAAATGCTCCAATTAAAAGACACAGAGTGACAAGCTGGATAAGGAACCAAGACCCACTGGTATGCTGTCTGCAAGACACCCATCTCACATGCAATGACACACAGGCTCAAAATAGAGGGATGGAGGGAAACCTACAAAATAAATGCAAAACAGAAAAAGCAGGAATTGCAATACTAGCTTGTCACAAAACAGACTTTAAACTAATAGTAGAGATAAAAAAAAAAAGACAAAGAATGGCATTACATAATGGTAAAGGGTTCATTTCAACAAGAAGAGCTAACTATCCTAAATATATGTGGAACCAACAAAGGAGCACGCAGATTCATAAAGCAAGTTCTTAGAGACCTTCAAAGAGACTTAGACTCCCACACAATAATAGTGGGAGACTTTAACACCCCACTGAAAATATTTGACAGATCACAAGACAGAAAATTAACAAAGATATTCAGGACCTAAACTCACCTCTGATCCAATAAACCTGATACATATCTACAGAACTCCCCACCCTAAAACAACAAGATATACATTCTTCTCATTGCCACATGGCACTTACCCTAAAATTGATCGCATAATCAGAAGTGGAACACTTCTCAGCAAATGCAAAAGAACTGAAATAATAACAAACAGTCTCTTAGACCACAGCACAATCAAATTAGAACTCAAGACTAAGAAGTTAACTCAAAACAATACGACTACATAAAAATTGAACAACCTGCTCCTGAATGACTTTTGGGTAAATAATGAAATTAAGCCAGGAATCAAGAAGTTATTTGAACCTAATGAGAACAAAGATATGACATCACTGATGATTAGAGAAATGAAAATCAAAACCACAGTGAGATACCATCTCACGCCAGTCAGAATGGCAATTATATTTAAAAAAAAAATGAAGAAACAACACATGCTAGAGAGGTTGCAGAGAAATACGAACGTTTTACACTGTGGGTGGGAATGTAAATTATTTCAATCATTGTGGGAGATGGTGTAGTGATTCCTCTAAGATTTAGAACCAAAAATACCATTTGACCCAGCAATCCCATTACTGGGTATATACCCAAAGGAATAAAAATCATTCTATTATAAAGATACATGCACACGTGTGTTCATTGCCACACCATTCACAATAGTAAAGACATGGAATCAACCTAAATGCCCATCAATAATACACTGCATAAATAAAGTGTGGTATATATACACCATAGAATACTATGCAGCCATAAAAAGGAACAAGATTATGCTTTTTGCAGGGACATGGATGGAGCTAGAGGCCATTGTCCTTAGCAAACTAACACAGGAACAGAAAACTAACTACTGCATGTTCTCACTTATAAACTACATGATGAGAACTCATGAACACACAGAGGGGAACAATGCACACTGGGGACTTTCAGGGGGTGGAGAATGAGAGGAGAGAGAGGATCAGGAAAAGCAACTAATGGGTACTAGCCCTAATACCTGGGTGATTAAAAAAAATTTGTACAGCAAACCCCCATGACACATGTTTACCTATGTAACAAACCTGCACTTGTACTTCTGAACTTAAAGTAAAGGTAAAAAAAAAGAAAAAGAGAGAACAGCATCAGAAACCACAAAAAAAGGGGAAAAAGAAAGAAGATGAAACCACAGTTCTTTACGTGGGTGGGCTATGAATGTTATCTACACATTCATAAGAACAGAAATCCTGAAACTGATGTAATAACAGTTTGTGAAGTATATATATATATATATATATATATATATATATATATATATATATATATTATTTGTTGACACAGTTTCTTTGGTCTTCAATTAAATAAATTAATATTTATTGAACTACTGTTGTGTGCCAAGCACTGTGATAAACAAAGGACACGTAGTCAGAAGTAAAATGTGATCATTTTCTAGCCCTTCTGGAGCAAAACAGAAAATGTGAAGGTGACAGAAGAGAAAATGATGCACTCTAAGTCTGGGAAAGAGTCTAGAGAGAGATTAGAGAGAGTAAAGAAGGGTGTTCTAGGAGCTGAAGATAAAAAGAAAGTTAGAGACCAGGGCATGAAGAGCAATTGGTAAGTAGAGTATTTACACGATAAAATAGAAAGATTTACATTCGGGAAATTTATCTTCAGTTATATTTTTTACGTAAGTTGTAAGGGAGAAAGGTGGAAATGGCAGAAGCAGAAAGATTAGATAGGAACCCAGTAATCTCATCAAAATGACAATTTGGTTTAGAATGGTTGCAGTGGAGTTAGAAACATTTGAATTCGAAAGATAACTAAAGATAAAATTTATAATATGTGAGTTTATATAGTAAAAATAATAGCCAGAAATTTATCAAGACATAGCTAGAAACAAATTACTCTTTAAGTTCTACAGTATGTATTATTTATAAAGTCCATCTATATATAAAAAATATAGATATATCTTTAAGTTTCTATGTTCAAACATGACCATCAGAAGTTTCAGTTCACCTTTATTCTTCTAATAGACTATATTAAAATGTAACTGTCCCAATCTACTGCAATAATTTCAAAGTCAGTTCACTTTACTGGCTATAGTACAGACAATACTTTTTATAAAAGGGTTTATAAAAATCTCTATAATATGGTTGGCCTCTGTGTCCCTACACAAATCTCACGTTGAATTGTGATCCCAAGTGTCGGAAGAGGGACCTGGTGGGCAGTGATTGGATCATGGGGGCAGACTTTCCCCTTGCTGTTCTCCTGAAAGTTTGTGAGTTCTCACAAAATCTGGTTATTTGAAAGTGTGTAGCACTTCCCCCTTTGCTCTCTCTCTCCTGCTGGCCATATGAAGACCTGCTTGCTTCCCCTTTGTCTTCTACCAAGATTGTAAGTTTCCTGAGACCTCCCCAGAAGCAGAAGCCTATATAACCCACAGCACTGTGAGCAGATTAAACATCTTTTCTTTATAAATTACCCAATTACAGGTATTCTTTTATAACAGTACAAGAATGAACTAATACACTCCATCTTCTCAAAGCAATGGTAGATACCAGGCTGGCATATTCTGATAGTGAGAAAAGACTGGATAATTCAAATATTCAGTTGCTTTAATTAATTCAATTACTGTGACTGTCAGAGTCTGTGTAGAAAAATGTGAGAGAATTGTCAGTTGTGTTTTTTAGATGATGGCCCAAAAAAATATGTACTGGATAGATTGAGAAAAGTAACAATTTGACAGAGTTGAAAGAAGAAATGAAAAGGACCTACTGGTGGAAAGGAGGTAATGAAGGGTTTTATTGGGCATAATCCAGTTTTCTGTCTGGGAAAAGAGAAACTTGCGGTTAGAGTTTGGAAGGCATGAAGTAATGTGTTGGGGGGAGTAAAATTTACAATGGGGAACAAGTTAAATGTTGAAGGTGAGCGGGTGAGGAGAGTAAATCTTTGGGGTCATCAAGAAAACTAAGAGGCATAAAGATACAATTTCATTCATTCTTTTTTGTGGATGCATGGTAGTCCATGATGTATATGTACCACATTTTCTTTTTCCAATCATCCATTCAGGGGCACTTAGGTTGATTCCACGACTTTACAATAGCAAATGGTGCTATGATAAATGTACAAGTGCAAGTGTCTTTTTTATGAAATTATTTATTTTCCTTTGGGTAGATACTCACCAGTGGAATTTTAGTTTTTGAGAAATCTTCATACTGTTTCCCATAAAGGCTACAAGAATCTACATCCCCACCAAAAGTGCACAAGCATGCAACAGATAATTTTAATGTGTTTTACTCTTCCACTAGACACTATGCATCTTGAGGGCAAGTTTCATGCCTTATTAATCTTAGTATTATTTCCAGTATCTAGGACAGAGAATGATATAAAGTCAAGAGTAATAAATGATTGCTGAAATAAATTGAAATTTTAAATTGCTTGGTTCCCTAAGCAGCCACTTTCCTTTACTATGTCAAAAACAGTGAGTTCCTTTTCCTTTGCCAATGGCATATTTCATATGCCCAAGAGATGTGAAAGCATACAGCACAAAGCTGAAATGAAAGACTCATTACAGTATTGCATTAGAGCTACGAAGTCATATTTTGCAACCATTCTGTGCCACCAATATAATTAGAAGATATTGAACTTTCATTAGTTTGGGAAGTCAGCTGCCCTTTAATTGTCATTATTTAAATTTTTTGCTGACTGTAATAGCCTCATGAGATAGACATCTCATTTCTGTTACAGAACCGAGGGTCACCAGTGGTATAATTTTATTTCTCTATACTTGAATGCAGCCCAGAATAGCATTCAACATTGAATCCGTTCTTAACTTTTATTAGTAACTTTAGTCAAGTACAAATTAATACAGTTTTTCTTTTTAATGTCAGAATTTCTCATTGTTGAAAAAAAAAATTGTTTCTTCCTTACCCACAGGATGTTTAAGTCCCTCAACAATAACCCCACCAAATGTGTTCAGTCCTGTATACTGAAATCTCCAAAGAGTAAGAACACTCTGTTTCCTAAGCTGGCTCATTTCATGTTTTTTTTTAAAAAAACTTTATCATTCCTTTATAGGATGAAACGAATACTATGTACAACAATTCTATCACTTCTACCATATATTATAATCTGTGGCCTAATACCCTTTATAAAATTGGGCCCCCTTTCAACCTTTTATTACCTGCTTATACCTGGGCTATTTATGCTCAGTTTTCTCAACCAATTTCCCTATTGCATTATTTGTGTTCACTCTATTATCTTGACTACTCCCTTTCCCCTCCACGTGTCTATAGTCCTTAAGGTGAGACACCAAGAACTGAATGTAATATCTTCAGAGTTGTGTCTACATGGCAGAGAAAAAACCAGAGATTTGGCTGGGCATGGTGGCTCACGCCTGTAATCCCAGCACTTTGGGAGGCCGAGGCGGGCAGATCACGAGGTCAGGAGATTGAGACCATCTTGGCTAACACGGTGAAACCCCATCTCTACTAAAAATACAAAAAGAAATTACCCGGGCGTGGTGGCGGGTGCCTGTAGTCCCAGCTACTGGGGAGGCTGAGGCAGGAGAATGGCGTGAACCTGGGAGGCGGAGCTTGCAGTGAGCCAAGATCGCACCACTGCACTCCAGCCTGGGCGACAGAGTGAGACTCCGCCTCAAAAAACAAAAAAAAACAAAAAAAAACAAAAAAAAAAAACAGAGATTCACTGTTCTGTTGTAGGTGTTTATACTTTCTCACATGCAAGATAAATGGCTTTTTAAAAATCCAATTGTGGGTGATGTTACAGAAATTTCTATAACTGAACACTTTTTAGTCTTTGATACTTACAATATGGAAATTAAAATATAAAATGTATGTATAGACTTCAGTAAATCAACTTCCATTTCTACTGCCTCTCACTACAATTGCCTGATTTTTCAGGTAATTAAACAGAAGTGCTGCAGGAGTTTATCTTTCCTCTAAGTTTTTTAAGGCTTAAAATTTTATCCTGGCTAAGTGTGGTGACTCATGCCTATAATCAGCACTTTAGGAGGCCAAGGTGAAAGGATTACTTTAGACGAGGAGTTTGAGACCAGTCTTGTCAACATAGCGAGACCCCATCTCTAAAAAGAAATTTTTAAAATTTAGCAGGGCCTCATGGTCTGTGCTTGCAGTCCAAGCAACTTGGGAGATTGAGGTGGGAGGATCCCTTGAATCCAGGGGTTCCAGGTTGTATGAATGCATCATTGCCCTCCCCCAACCTAGGTGACAGAGCAAGACCCTGTTTCTAGAAAGAAGAAAAAGAAAAATTGTTTCCTGTTATATCCATTTCCTTTAATATAGTTTACAAATTGTGCATTTCAACAGCAGCACTCTGTCCATATGTCTAGCAGACTCCTTAACACACTGTGCTACAACTTCTCTGTATGTGTCTGTCTCCCAAACTAGAATATGTATGGCTAAAGGTCAGAGCTTTTCTTACTCGGCTTTATATTCCCAGCACCTAGCACAATGCCATTTGTAGTTGAATAAATGACGATCTTTGCACACAAGCAGCATTGGTTTGGATTTTAATGTATTTAGGTAATCTACAATATAGATATAAAGTGTGCTATTGCACCCAGCAAAATATCTAAAAAGACTTCTAAGCAGTTGGAGAATTAAACATATTTTAAAATAGCACCGAAAAAAAGCTAGTCCAGTAAGGGAAATTATGTAGAACACATTCTAATGTTTATTATAATTTGGCAAAGAATTTTCAATAATACCCAACTACATAAAATTCCAACTAATCTAGCAAAGTTGTTTATTTCATTCATACCAACAAAATATACAATTGCTGTATGATCCCCAATTGTTTCCTCAAGGAGAGGCTAAAAGATTTCATCTTACTGGCACTTACATGCATATAATAACAGATGCTGGGGAGGATGAGGACAAATAGAACCCAGGATTAAGGCTAGGAAGGATGGTTGATTTTTTGTTTGTTTTATAGAAAGAGCTAACACTTATTTAGCACTTGCTTCTGCTAGGTTCTATTCTAATTGCTTTACGTGAATTAGTTTAATTAATCTTTATAGTAACCCTATGAAGTAGAAATGAAACTTGAAGAACTTGGGTTTAAACTGTGTGAGTCCACTTATTTACATTTTTCAGTAAATATAGTCAGGCTCCCCACCCCCCACATCTGAAACCAAACAGGGATTGATAATACAGTATTCTCCTGATGTGAAACCCCATATACAGAACACTGGACATTTTCCTCAGGTTGCACCAGGCTGACAACTAGACATGATTATACACGAATTTTGGTATCCACAGGGGTCTTGGAACCTATTCCAGGGCCGACTGTAGTTCCATGCACAGGCCGAACTCACAGATGAGAAATTTAAAACCAGGATTAACACTAAGGCATTCTAACCCTAGAGCCAATGATATATCAATTTTCGCTACAAAACATCAAATCAAACACCTGTTTCAAATAGTTTTTAGGAAAATTCAACTTATTTTCTCGATTTGTGCTATTTATAATCAGCAAATGGACCTTTTAAAAGACAATTAAAAGGTTACAAAAAAGGGTCCTGACTGTCGGGAATTAAAAAGACATCCAAACATGAGTGGGGGTACCCACAGTTTATAAGGTTACCATTTAGTCTTGTTTAAAAAAAAAATGAATAAGAACAAAGAAGCAGTGTGCTTCCTAATCCTAAAGCAGGATTTCTCAACCTCAGCACTACTAACATTTTGAGTGGAATACTTCCTTGTTGTGGGGGACTGCCCTGTGCATTGTAGGATGTCTAGCAGCATCCCGGGCCTCTACCCATTAGATGCCACTGGCACTCTCCCTCCCAGATATGACAATAAAAAGCATCTCTAGGACATTGCCAAGTGTCCCCTGAGGGTAAAGTCACCGTCTTAAAGAAAAGCGATCTGACCTTACCTTATCATCGTTTTCTTTATAAAAATATTTCGCATATGCTATATAGATAAGCAACATAATAAAGAAGCAATGTCTGAAATGGGATATCTGATTTTAAATAGCTGTTCTTGGAGACACAACTGTAGATCTCATGTATCTTTGTTTCTCCTATGACACAAAATGATTCCCCCACCCCACACAACACACACACTGTTCCCCCTCTCATCCCTCATCTACAATTCCAACCCAACATTTCTATTTCTGTTTCCGTTTTTTATTATTATTATTATTTTGAGATGGAGTTTCGCTCTTGTCGCCCAAGCTGGAGTTCTATTTTTGTTTTCAAATCTCTCTCTCTATTCAATTGATGGCACCAAGTGAGAGCAATAGGATTGGTCCAGAAACATCCTGCTGTCTTCAAGTATTCTCCTATATTCTCCCCAAATTAAATTTTATGAAAATCAAACTTAAATAAAATTCAAGTGGCAAAGACCATCAGATCGTCATTAAGTACACATTGTTTTTGTTTTTTGTTTTTTTAAACTAAGAGTGGGGTTGAATTTCGAGTCAGGTTTACTATATTAACTTTGCATAAAATATTAAAATCTTTCATGGAAAATTAAAAAATGCTGCTCCAGACACTTTCTTTTAATAATATTTATAACAATTTATGATCTCTCTACGTCTCCCACTGCTTTGTATGTTTTGTGAATTTAGCACTAAATTTTAACATAAAGATGGATTTTATTTCATGTTGCACAAGGACTTGAATGCAAAATATTATGGTTTTCAGTGACTTTAATATTGAAGCATATGCCTCTAATTTAACTCCAAAGAGGACAGAAAGTCTCCTGACATCATCTATAAGGGTACAGCCACTCTTTTTCTCCAACTCATCTAAAATTTGGCAAAAAGCATCCTCCTTCCTGCCCCCAGATTTCATTGTCAATTTGCAGCCAAATGCAAATGATTTCATAGTGAATACACACATCCTTTTCTTTCAAGCAGAAATAGTAATTGTAGGAAATAAGAAAACATTTGCATTCTAATCTTTTTGTCAGTATCTGCTTCATCTGGACGAATGAGGCAAAGCTAACATAGCCAGTTTCTCTTATGAAATTCAAAAAAGAAATACTTTCCCAAAGTAGTTATAATTTGTAATCAAAGTACAATTTAGTTATGTACATGTACCTTATTTCAGTGAATTCTAATCATATCTGAAAAAAAGAAATAAAAATATTTCTTTCAGCTGGCCAACAGCTAAATTTTAATTTTCTCCTCAAATTATATGTAAATTCTGTAAGCAGATAAATTGGGACTCAATATTTTTTGATCTTTAGGAAAGAATTGTAATTTTATTTCAGATTTTCTTCTCTTAATAGACTTTAAAAAGTATCCTAGAGAAAACTTCATTAGTTCAGTCCCTACTAATATGAATTATAGATATATTTTTATTGATTTTACTAATATTATATTTTCATGTCATTGGTAATAAAATTTTTGAGTTGAATGAAATCTCACAGATATTTGTACAGCTATGTTTGCTCTTTAAAAACAGTAATTTCTTTAAGAGTAGTGATTTTTACCATAGTGTTATTATATTTTATTTCATAAGTCAATGTTACTCTAATTTATTGAACACTTAGAATGTGAAAGTCATATTTATTAATGATTTTAAAGCCCATATAAAACACTGTGCATATATAATCTCCTTTAATACTCACAAGATCCTTATAAGATGGGTAATGCTATTTAACAGATGTGAAAGTGGAGGTTTAAAGTATTTAATTAGCTTCCCAAAGTCACCGAAAACTTAAGAATAAGATTCAGAAATTGAATCCCAGATTCTATGTCCCCAAAATTCAGGCTCTAATGGCTGTACCCTACTTTGTAATACATGCAAATAAGGCATTCTAATGCCTTACAACTCAGAGAACCGTGGGCCTGCAGCATCCGTATCACCTGGAAACTTGTTAGAAATGCCAAATTTCAGATTTCACCCAGTATCGGATGAATGAGTCTCTGCATCCCAGGTAATTTTTATCACATTAAAATGTAATTAATACTATTGTAGTACACACTGGCGGATTGCCTTCTTAGCCTTCATTTCATCCTTTCTCAGAATGTTCATAATTTTGTCATAGAAAGCTATACAGTTCCAGCAGAGACAAATCCATTTCTAACTACACGATACCTACTAAACTCGTCCATACATTTATTCACAGTGAGCCTCTGGAGTTTTTGTGGGAATTTTTCATAAAAAAATTTGATTCCTTCTGGGCCAGTTGGCTAAAAGATGGATATGTGGGCTTAGATATGGTGATTCCAGTGGTGTGAGAAATAGACAGAAGTCATATACTTTGGAGAACAATAAGCCATTATAGACATTTGAGAATTTCTCCTAAGAGGAATCTGTTTTAAGAGTGAGTAAGTAGGCCAGGCGCAGTGGCTCACGTCTGTAATCCTAGAACTTTGGGAGGCCGAGTCGGGTGGATCACCTGAGGTCAGGAGTTCGAGACCAGCCTGACCAACATGGTGAAATCCTCGTCTCTACTAAAAATGCAAAAAAATTAGCCAGGCGTGGTGGCAAGTGCCTCTAATCCCAGCTACTCAGGAGACTGAGCAGGAGAATCGCTTGAACCTCGGAGGTGGAGGTTGCAGTGAGCCAGGATGGCACCAAAGCAAGCACTCTAGCCTGGACAATACGGCAAGACTCCGTCTTAAAAAAAAAAACAACAAAAAAAAAAAAACAAAAAAAGCGTAAATACATGTGCCTGTTCTTGTGTGGTGCATGTGGCAGGGTAGGGCAGTAAGCTGGATTAACATGGTCAAATTTTGAGGAACACGCTAGCTATAGGATTCAGTATTAATTAAGAGAACAACAGGGCCGGGCGCGGTGGCTCACGCTTGTAATCCCAGCACTTTGGGAGGCCGAGGCAGGCGGATCACGAGGTCAGGAGATGGAGACCATCCTGGCTAACACGGTGAAACCCCGTCTCTACTAAAAAAAATACAAAAAAATTGGCCGGGCGTGATGGTGGGCGCCTGTAGTCCCAGCTACTCGGGAGGCTGAGGCAGGAGAATGGCGTGAACCCAGGAGGCGGAGCTTGCAGTGAGCCGAGATTGCGCCACTGCACTCCCGCCTGGGCCACAGAGCGAGACTCCGTCTCAAAAAAAAAAAAAAAAAAAAAAAAAAAAAAAAGAGAACAACAGGCTGGGTGCCGTGGCTCACACCTGTAATCCCAGCACTTTGGGAGGCCAAGGCAGGCGGATCACGACGTCAGGAGATCAAGACCATCCTGGCTAACACGGTGAAACCCCATCTCTACTAAAAATACAAAAAAAAAAAAACCAATTAGCTGTGCGTGGTGGCAGGAGCCTGTGGTCCCAGCTACTCGGGAGGCTGAGGCAGGAGAATGGCGTGAACCCAGGAGGCGGAGCTTGCAGTGAGCCGAGATCGTGCCACTGCACTCCAGCGTGGGCAACAGAGCGAGACTCCGTCTCAAAAACAAAACAAAACAAAACAAAACAAAACAAAAACACAAAGCCCTGAGGCAGAGGGACCAGTTACCAGCTGTTTCTGTAGGGCATACTAGAGATGCTTCCAGATTAGACCAAAATAAAGAGGCAGGAGGAAAAAAAAGAAGTGAATAAATTCTAAGGACAATTAGGCAGTAGGACCAATAGCCCAAGTAGTTGTTTGGTTGTATGTAATGAAGAAAGTATTAAGAAAAACTTCAAAATAGCTGGCTTAAGCAACTGGGGGCGATTACGGTAATAACCTTTAGTATTAATAACGTTGGAGTAGGCACCAAGTAGGAGGCAGCATGAAGAGATCAATTTTGGACAAGTTAGGGCCCACAGCTAGACTCCAAGTTCAAATACACGCTCATCTCTCGCCAGTACTTTTTGTTCTTTATCATTACATATCTAGACTATATTTCTTCCTTTAAAAAGTAGCTAAGGCAAAGCTTTCTCCATTCTAAATAGTCCTTTCCCTGAAATTACTCTCAGTATTTCTGAGGTTTTACTGATATATGATGTAACCAATTTGGAAACGTAGGCACGTTTTTTCTACTTGAAACATAATTTTAGTGTGGGTAAATTTTCTAAAGGGAAAACATGACCTATAGTCAGATCTATGAGAAAAGAAAAGAATCTTGTAGATTGACTTCTCTACTGCTCTATTAATTGTTAATTATCACTAATGAGAGGGAAGTAGGATTTGCTTTATATCTGATCAGCTCGTAAATCAAGATCATGTAGAATGCTGGTCCGTGTGAATGCCAGCCAGCTCTCTCCAGTATGAAACCTCAACCTAGTTGTTGTTTCAGCTTTTTTCAGAGAGGTTTCTAAATGCTGAAGTGCTCATAATACAGTCTACTAAATTCTGAGCTCCAAATCCCGAAAGATTAGAATTGGCTGCAGTAAAACTGGAAGATTTTTTTTCCTTCCCGTAAATGATCTTGGAGGGAATTTTTGAGTCTCTGAAAAATTCTCTATGGAAGAATTGTGTGGACAGTGACCTCACATGTGTCTTAAAATCTCCATGGAAGCCCAGGAATCTCTAAACATATCGACGGGGATTTCAGCATTTAATTTCTTATTACCCAGAGGCTTTCCAGAGGACACGACATACCCATTTATTTTGTTTATGTTGTTTTTGTTTTTAAATAGTAGGCAACGTTGAAGAGACAAGACGTTGACGAAACTGTTCTGACAAATAATTGACACATAAATGAAACATTAATTTAAGTTGTTCCAAATGCTCTTACTCCTCAACAGATGCAATTTTTTTAGGAATAAAAATAACTGTGGAACTGCCATAAAAATATCAGCAAACAAAGAGGGTAAACTTCATTTCTGTTTTTCTATGTTTCTAAAAGAATAAGTATGGCTTAAAATTACATTAAAGTAGGCAGCTCCCATGCTGTCTTTTTACTGGTTTAGCTGAAAAGCCTGCTCTAAACTGTAAATTAAGAAACAGCATATAAAAGAAGAAAATGTACCCGTTTTGGATTGGCAATGAAAATATCATATACCATCTCTTTCCATGCAGTTAGACCTTTCAAGAGGCTGATTTTTGAATTCTATTTTCATGAAAGCAATATGAATCTGTTAGACCAACTCTGCGTATATACTGAGTGTTCTGCTTGAATGCTGATATTTTCTGTTCTGGAATATGAATACAATGGATAATCTGTTTTCTGAATTGGATGACTGGAATTCCCCTAATTAAAAAAAAAGAAAAACACAGAGATAAGATACTACATTTATGTATTCTAGAAACATTGTGACATTTTTGTTTTCTAACAGGTGGAAAGGGAGAAAGACCTTTAATAAACTAGAATTTTTTCTAATTATGAGGGAGCAAAGTAAAAGTTTTAAAAGTTGTCCTAACTTTAAAACATTTGTAGTTTTTAAGTTAAAAGTGACCTTAAATAGTAATCTTATAAACTAAAATTATTCAAACATTTTTAAAAATTATTTTATGAGTATTTATGCTAATCTCAATCCGAAATTGTATTCAGCAGAGGTTGAGACTTCATAGTGATTTTTTTGTTTGTTTTAAATACGAAAGGAAAGAAAAGAAGAAATATAGTATTTATTGCAAGGCTCGCTAGACTAAATTTTTACCTATGTTACATAATCTTTGTAAGAATATTGGGTTATAGTAGTATCTCAATTTAAAGAACTGAGAATTGAGGAAAACTAAATTTCAGAAAAGTTAAATATTTTTTACCTATGGTCCCTGAGGGGCAAGGTAATGGAGTAGTATTTGAATCTAGGTTTGTCTGGCTGAATAGTTCCACCCATGTTTTTTAGATTGTTAGGGCAAGCTGGGGCCAAAAGATCTATCTGCTCACCAATAAAATCCTATAAGAGCATCAACTAAGGACATGAGTGTAGACGTTAACCAAACGATTTAGCCTAACAAAACAAGCACTACTTTTCCCTAGGCCTCCAATGATATTTTTGGGTATTATTCGACAACATGCCATAAAGAGCAAATGTTCATTGAGGCTGACCAATAATACTCAATAATTTCATTTCACCAACTATTTAGTAAGTAGGGTTTTTTAAATCCATTACTATATTTGGAATAATGGAGAGACAATAATAATTCAAGGCACAATTCCTGCCCCAGAGAAGCTCAGCACCTCACTAGACAAAGGAGATATACAAATATGCAGAGATAATCAAAGAGTTGGAAATATGTCAACCAGAGCATTACGATGTGTAAGCAAAGTTGAAATAAATAAAAATATTACTGGGTATCTCAAATATGTGTTAAAGTTATGTATATTTTTTAGCATATATTCTTCCTGATTATCTGATTCTAGTATTTCACTGACTTTGAACTGTTCACAAGTTACAAAAAACTCTCGAAGGCATGGATCATGGTAAAACAAAATGATTATTTTTTTATAGATGTGAAAATGATTTTTGCTGGTAAAGTTTCAACTGACCTCCCTCCATCACTGTGTTAGAAGCCAGTTTCCCTCCACTTGCAAATTCACGGTAATATTTCTGATTTTAAAATGTGTCCATGCCTGGCATTGTCTTTTGAACTAGTTGTAACATCTTAACAGTTTACTCATTAATAATAAGTTAATTCCATTTTTATCATATGCTTATTTTATTTCTATATAAGATGTATGATTATACCTTTTTCTTAAAATTATCCTTCAACAAATGTAATATAAACATTCTAGCTTGGTTTCAAGAGATTACAAAGGGACAAATTATTTTCTCTGGCTTTGTAGAAGAGAGGTGGCAATATATATATCCTCTTGCAGACTCAATTTTTAAAACTATATTATTGAGATAAAAGACACCATTTTCTGTAAAGAAATGCATCAGTCATCTCCCCATTATGATACATTCAGTCAGGCTACACATATTCTAATGGTCTGCAAACATATATCAGTGAGAAGTGAACTGATACTTCTCACATCTCTTTCATGAGTTGGATTTAAACACACACACACACACACACACACACACACAGGATTACAGAAGCATAAACTGCAACACTTTAACTACTAAAGTATTAAAGTGGAAGGATATTATCCTTCCACATTTTCAAATAAAATGAAATAAGAACACTAAATCATTCTGTCAACCTGTTAGTATTAATAAGATTTAGTTTCTCAGGGAGACTTTTTATTAATAGTTTCAAATTTCTCTTTGATTTGAGAAATAACACAAATATTTTTCTCATTATTACCTTCTCTCTCTGTTCTTAAGATGTTGCCACGTTGATTTTTTTTTCTCATGAGCCTTTGAAGAGAGCAGCCCTGTCTCTCTTGAACGTCAGATACAAAATGACTTGGCAACACCAGAAGGCTTTGACAGAGGAAGGAAATTTTTCTTTTTAGTACTCATCTATTTAATAACTGTTTCCATTACCTCTAGCAGTATTTTCATTCCTTTCTTCCTGCAGAAACAATATCCCGTGATAGTAGAGAAAATTACAACAAATTGGTTTATTTTCCTCTTACAAAATCTGTGTGTCTATCAAACCCTGAGTTATTATTTACAAGTTCAAGGACATTCTTCAAACTTTTAAGTTCACATCTTAACCCTATGCAGGAACTCAAGTAACTTGTTAGTGCCATCAAAAATCATTAAACATTCTAGCAGATGCTTGTGGAAGGCCTAATTCAAAGCAACTGAGCAAGAAAAGGACACACAATAAAAGAGGGAGAGGAAAAATAAGTGCAGTCTACATAAATGGGGCTTCCTGGAGTTGTGTAGAAAACATTGAACAAGAGTATAAAGAAAACAGAGGATGGCACCCCCTTCGTGTCATCATGGACTCATTCCTTTGGCAAATCAAGATTAAGATTATAAATTGATTATCTTTTTCTGCATATATAAATAGTTCAACTGATTCTCACAATCTAAGTGTTTTTTTCGCTCAACCAATTGGCTATAAATTGACTCATTTTCTAACAAATCAGTAAACTATACATATAAAGATAGATATAAATACATTCATAACGTATTTTAAACTTAATCTTTACCAGTTTACAAACTATGGTTTGGTATATGTCACAAAAACACACAGACACACTGTAAAGGGTGTAGATAGTTATTCAATTGTTTTATTAGTCATTTGCTAAAGAATATGTATTACCCATGTGAGAAGAAAGGCTTGAGTTAGCCCAAAGAAGAGTCATTTGGGTGTTGAAAATTGTGTGTCCCTTGAGAATAAAAACTGTATCTCTTAATACCAGAATAACACTTCATATCAATGAGTTTAGCAACCCTCATTAAAAATTGTATGTAAGCCATTCACAATAATAAAAATCTCCAAAGCCTTAAGACATCAGCCTTCCCAGGGCTTAAAGCCTAGAGAAACTGAAATCATCTTAGAAATCAAATCATCTGCATCATCTCTCTCTCACTTTGAACTTTAATATCATAGTTATTAAGAGACCAGATATCTGATAAGCCTTACATATCTTTTCATCCCTAACACTTAGCTGTGATATCAGCTCAGGAAAGACCTTTAACTCACCATATCAGTTTCTTCATCTATAAAAGGGTAGATTTCTATTCACCGAGCCCCGTCTCCATTCAAAATCTAGGGTAACTTCTTAAACGTTTTTTAATTTGCATTTTTAAACAGAAACTGCTTTTAGAAATAATCCTAACAAGGTCAGGTGCAGTGGCTCATGCCTGTAATCCCAGCCTGTAATTCCAGCACTTTGGGAGGCCGAGGCAGGTCAATCACCTGAGGTCAGGAGTTCAAGACCAGCCTGGCCAACATGGCAAAACCCCATCTCTATTAAAAACACAAAAATTAGCCAGGCGTGGTGGTAGGTGTCTGTAGTCTCAGCTACTGGGGAGACTGAGGCAGGAGAACGGCTTGAACCCAGGAGACGGAGGTTGCAGTGAGCTGAGATCACGCCACTGCACTCCAGCCTGGGTGAGAGAGCAAGACTCTGTCTCAAAAAAAAAAAAAAGAAAAAACAAAGAAAGAATCCTAACAAAACATTCTGTCTCTACAGCACAGGCTTAGAAGTAAAAATGTTTTAATTTGACATTTGTGTCTATAGTGAGAAATAAAAATGAAATCCTAAGTCCCTGAAACTGACTGAATGGACCACCTGTTGGCCAACGGAACCCCAGAGTAACCTTGAAAACCAAGTCCTTGGCCATGATGGGCCATACCTCACTATACCTGCTCTATTGCTAACTGTGCTAAGGGCCATTAGGCTTTCTTCCCTAAGAGCTAAACAGAAATCATCCCTTTCAAAAGAGTCACTGGTCCTCTGATTTTAACCAACCACCTGATGCTGCTCCTCCCTTTTGCAGTTTCAACAAAACAATTGGCCAGCATTTCTTCCTGATAAGAGACCACAGACCATGGCGTGGTTCTGGCTTGTCTATGGAGGTTGCATGGTAAGGGTTTTTGTGTCCTTTTTGAAATCAGAGGGCCAAAAACTCTACCTTTGGATTATGCTAACACTGCCATTTTTGAACATAAGACCCATGTAGGGTCATGAAGCACAACTGTGCATGTGCAAATTTCTCCTTTCATGAATATTTACGCTATTTTTGCTATAGCTTACTCAATATGTATATTTAGCCACCCTGCTTAGCACAAATTCCTATTCCCTTTGCCCCTCTCTCAAAGGGTCTGTTTTTGGCTTCTGGCAGAAGGCTATGCTTCCCAGCCTGTCAGAATGGCCACTCTGCAGGCTACAACACTTCATGAGAAATAAGGGTCTCTTTTTCAAATTTACTAACTTCATCATTCTTCAGTTGACAATAGTAATAATACAGAACAGCTGGACTCCTGGCTAACCACCGCCCCCCCCACCCCCCACTCTTAAGCCTGGAACCGCAGCCTTAAGTGAAAACAGCTGACCCCATTTTTTGACACCCCCCCCCCCCCGCCCCCAATGTTGCCTTTTTGACCTGCCACAACCCTATCCTGTGCCCATAAAAAGACTTCAGCTGTCAGAGCAACACAAGTGGCTGAGCATAAGGGACACAAGTGGCTGAGCAGTGAGCAGAGAAACAGTAAATGAGCATCAGAGACTACAGATAGACGCAGCTAACTTCAGAGAGTGTGGCTTCAGGGAAACATCACCTTCTTCCCAAACTAGCCCCTTTCCAATTCCCCATCCCACTGAGAGGCACTTTTACCGCCCAATAAAATCCTTCGCATACACTACCCATCAATTCGTTCATGTGACCTGATTCTTCCTGGATGCTGGACAAGAACCCGGGTGCTGAAAGGGTAAGGGCTTAGACACTGCTGCAGAGCCCGTACAAAGTGTGCTCTGCCAGAGAGGAGTATGGATAATTCCTCTTCTCTAGGCTCTCTCTGCATCATGGGTGCTGGAAACTGCTGGTTCCAGTGTTTGTTTCCTCTGGTTCCCACACTCGCTTACACACTCCTGCTTGTGAGAAGTGGCCAGCAGTGGGCTGACTGAAATTAGCTACTCCAGTTTCCACCCACTAAGGGAGTCAATGTCAAGGGAACAATCCCATGTCATCTGGGGGCCCGTCCAGGATACGAAAAAGGGTGAGTTAAAAATGCGGAACTGTCAGCTCTGTCTCTTTGCCAAGACCCTGCCACCTCTTTCTTTCCTTCAGGTAAATGGAATGTTGGCTCTGTTTCCCTTCACAGAGGTCTAGCCAGTCTGAACCAGGGAAAGGATAGGTGATTAAAGGAACCCATTTCCACAGAGCAAGAGGCTCTTCCCCAAGATCCCTCTATTTGATGCACTTTAAGTTGTTTTTCTTCTTTTTTAAGCAAGAGAGTTCTCTTGCTGCCTCAGCACTCTGCTTGTGATAGGGAAACGTCAGAGGAGCGACCCATGCTGGCTGTTATCTATAAACTTGGCAAAGCCCATTTGGGACACAACCTAAATGAATCTATGTATCCCCTAAACACCTTTTTGTCCCAAACTCAATTTCAAGCTTCAGGTTGAGGCCCTAGAAAGGAAAACCAGATCTGAGGGATCCAAAGCCAGGCAACATGCACAATGTAAATGGGCAAGACAAATTCTTGCCAATTAAACCCCCACTTCATAGGAGGAGGCCATGCTCTATGGCATAAATGAGGCCCAGGGAACTCAAAGGTTGTCAATCGTGGGAGAGGTAGAGGTATAGGTGAGTGTGGATAATTCCTATTCTCTAAGCCCTCCCTGCATCATGGGTGCAAACCACATTAGTACCCATGGGTGGCACCTGCCAAGGTCACCAGGACTCAGGGATGAAAAGACAGAAGAGAGGCTGGGTGCAGTGGCTCCCAGCACTTTGGGAGGCCGAGGCAGGCGGATCATGAGGTCAGGAGATCGAGTCCATCCTGGCTAACACGGTGAAACCCCGTCTCTACTAAAAAATACAAAAAATTAGCCGGGCGTGGTGGCAGACGCCTGTAGTCCCAGCTACTCAGGAGAATGGCATGAACCTGGGAGGCGGAGCTTGCAGTGAGCCGAGATTACGCCACTGCACTCCAGCCTGGGCGACAGAGCGAGACTACGTCTCAAAAGAAAGAAAGAAAGAAAGAAAAGACAGAAGAGAAAGAGGGATGCCCGCTTTCTTACTCACACCCTGAGTTTTTGCTGAAAGAAGGAAGGAAATGAGGAATGCTGAATTCCCTGTCTTTCAGAATGGGCAACCAACAAACTTTACTGCCTCTAATTTATACTCAGAAATGGACCTTAGAACCAGATAGTACTTTAGAAGACCTCCTGAATGTGACCACCTTAGTCTTTTAGACACAATAAATATGCAGAAGCTTTAATGGCCTAAGCCCACAAACCCCAGAATGCCTAAGGTTCTCCTGTTAACTGCTACAGATGTGGCAAGAACAGTTATCTCTCTCATAACATTTAACCACTCCCACACAAGGCTTAATTTCTTTCACCAGGGTGAGACAACTCAGAATACAATGTTGTCAGTATATTTCACTTCTTATTTCTGTACTTTTTGTCACTAGATTATTTCCTTGTATAATACACATGTTTGATCCATACTTAACCTTGTAAAGCTTGTTTTTTCTTTTGCCTAGAGGCCATCGAGACTTCAAATGTGCAGGCAGCCGGAGCCTCGGATGATGGCTGCCTTTTGCCGGGGACCCTTGGGCAGACCTCTTGGAGGAATCCGACTGCGATTTTCCCCAAACAACGTCCCCTTTTAGCAGGAAGTAGCTAAGACCAGTCATCATCTATATTCTAACGGCAGTTAGATGTGCCTCTTCAGAGGGGGAAATGATACAGAACAGCCAGAATAAACCCCACTCTTAGGCCTGGAACCACAACCTTAAGTGAAAACAGCTGGCCCTGTTTCTCCTGCCCAAATGTTGCCTTTTTGGCCTGCCACCCCTTATCCTGTGCCCATAAAAGGACTTCAGCTGGCAGAGCAACACAAATGGCTGAGCATCAGGGATACAAGCTGCTGAGTGTTGGGCATATACGCGGCTGAGTAGCGAACAAAGAAGTAACAACTGAGCATTGGAGACTATGGATAGATGCAGCTAACTTCAGACAGTGTGGCTTCAAGGAAAGATCACCTTCTTCCCCTTTCCCCATCCCACTAAGAATCACTTTTATCAGCCAATAAAATCCTCTTCATACACTACCCTTCAATCCATTCACGTGACCTGATTCTCCCTGGAACCTGGACAAGAACCTGGGTGCCGAGAAAGTAGGGGCTTGGATGCTGCTGTAGGGCCCACACACAGCATACTCCCACCAGAGAGGTGTTACCAGCCGGTTCCAATGTTCATTCCTTTCGGTTCCCACACTAGCTTGCTCACACACTCCCTCTTGTGAGGACTTGCCAGCAGTGGGCTGATTGAAAATAACCACTCCAGTTCCTGCCCAAGAAGGGGATCAAGGTCAAGGGAATAATCCAATCTCAGTAACACATGAAGAAATTATCTGTAGTAAGATGAAAACTGTCTATGAAGGTGTTAGTGGGCTCGACATATAGTATCGACTAAGTTAATTGTTGTTTATGTTGGGGTAAAGAGAAGGCGTCCCCCTTGCTTTCAGGACGTTCACTGAAAAATCAATTTTCAACAAGGCAGATTAATAAGAGAAAAGGCATACAAATGTATGTAACCATGTGCATGGGGAGAATCACAGAGTGATTACCTAATATCCCAGTGGGGCCCAAGCACTTATATAAGCTCTTTTCAGAGTGGAGGGGGCAGATGGCAAGTATAGGTAATTCTATTAATGGGCATTAAATGATTGCTAAAGAGAATAAATGGATACTCAAGAGAATGAATGGATGGGGGAACAGAGAGTGACTTGTAAATGGTTCTCCTTAGAAGCTGAATGAACCTGAGAGGCAGGCATTTTTTGGTGAAAGACTTGGGCCAGGTCTGGTTACATTGTTCCTCTGCTTTCCTGCAACAGATAATGAGATAACAGGGAACAGAAGGAAGAACAATTGTTCTTCTTGGTGGATCTCTCCAGTCTTTATGTAGATGGGGAAAAGTCTCTTCCAAGGCCTGTTGATCTCCGAGGGTTTTTAAGTCAAAATACTCATTATACCTGGAAGCCATAATTTGATGTGAAATTCTGTGTGTCAGAGGCATCCAAACCAGGGTAAACTCTCTCTTCAATAAGGGCTGGGTAAAATAAGGCCGAGATGTACTGAGCTGCATTCCCTGGAGGTTAGGCATTCTCAGTCACAGTATGGGACAGGAGGTTGGCACAAGAAACAGGTCATAATGACCCTACTGATAAAACAGGATATGGTAAAGAAGCCCAATAAAATCCACCAAAACCAAGATGGTGATGAAAGTGACCTCCAGTCATTCTCGCTGCTCATTATACACTAATAACAATGCATTAGGCTGCTAAAAGACACCCCCGACAGTGCCATGGCAGTTTACAAATGCCATGGCAACATCCAAAATCGACCCTATATAATCTAAAAAGGGGAGGAACCCTCAGTTCTGGGAATGTCTCACCCCTTTCCCATAAAACTCATGAATATTCCACCCCTTGTTTAGCAAATGATCAAGAAATAACCATATAAACACCCAACAAGCAGCCTTTGGGGCTGCTTCATCTATGGAGTAGCCATTCCTGTGTTTCTTCCCTAATAAACCTGCTTTCACTTTATGAACTTGCCCCAAATTCTTTCTTGGGCAAGATCCAAGAACCCTCTCATGGGGTCTGGATTGGGGCCTCTTTCCAGTAACACCTTCACTCCTTTATTTAATAAATGCCAGAGGGAGAGTCAGAATGCAGAAATAATAAGTAGAGTAGGTCCACACAGCTTGAGGAGAATCAACTGTATTATGTGCCATGGTGCTCCACATCATAACCACAACCAAGGCTAAGAAGGAGAGGAAAGATTATACAAATTGTCTAGTTATCCTAAGAGTTCCTTGGTCAACTTTGTGTTCAATTAATAGTTGTCCCCTGTCAAGGTTTTTAGCATTCCACCCTTGCAGCAAAACCCGAACCACCCTCAGATCTCTTTCTACACCCATGAAAGTCTTTCAAGAAAGCGACCTCCAAGAAGTGACAACTCCACTGAAAATTTTCTAATCACAAAGTTTTACCTGAAAGACCCAAGGACTACTCAAGTCTCTTCCTGTTAGTGAAAGCCCCTACTACCTCTCTAATTTCATCTCCACTTATTCTCAGGAACCTTACAGAAGCAGTAATAGCAGGAATAACATGGCATTGTTAGGAGAACCACCATTCCACCCCTCTGTTTTGCTTTCAGAAATTCCTTACTAGCCTTAGGGTAAAAGTTTTTCTTAAAAAGAAACACAAATAAGCAAACAAATACCCAAAAACTAATTAAAACACATATCTCATTGAGCAAAATGCATGTAACATATTTAGTAAAATGTATGGTTCCAAGTAAGCAATGGAAACAGGTAGCTATTATCTCCTCTCCTCCCGGAACCAATTGGTGATATATTGAAAAAACAGTTTTGTTACTTCTTAAATGCCACTAGGAAAAGTATCTGAGAAAGCGTAGACATTTCCATTACAGTAATTTAGACTGACATACAATCAATACAAACATCATTAATTTGGGGTTTCCTGTTGGCCTCTTTTGCTGAATGGATTGTTACAATGCTGGAGGAAAAGCAATTCCCCTTGGTTTACATTCAAAAGTCATGGTTTACCTAAAGATGGGGTCATTAAAAGAGATCCTAATGGGAAAAACACATATACATGATACTAACATTACTTTCAGTGAAAGCAAATAAATTTGTCCATGAGCATTGATTCTATTTCTGAAAATTATTATATTAGGGAAGGTGTAACATAGAAAAGGAGGCCTAGCATGACCAACTCTATTTTACACCTAACTCCCTACCCCTTGGTGATATCTTTTAGGTTGACTGTTTTTGCTTTTCTCTGCATGTAGGCCAAGCTAACTATGGCAGGAATTTAGTTCATAGTTTAACTTTAAAGCAAAAATGACAATAGTCCCTTCCCATAAGTAACTACCGATGAGTTAAGGAAGGTATACAAAAAAGCAATAATGTTATGTTAAAGATTTATAGGTGCATTGTGACCTCACCAAGGACAAAGAAGCTTCACAACCTCCTCAAGCTCTTGCTTACACCCAGATGTCTGTGGTCCTCAGCCACCTCTCGACTTCAATCCTTTCCGTCTTTCCCCTTTCCTAACACAAAAGAAGCCTAAAATCCGTATTAATTTTTTTTTCAAGTTCCAGGGTACGTGTTCAAGATGTGCAGGTTTATTACATAGGTAAACGTGTGCCATGGTGGTGTGCTGTACCTATCAACCCATCACCGAGGTGTTAAGCCCAGCCTGCATTCGCTATTTTGCTTAATGCTCTCCCTGCCCCACCCAATCCCGCTACAGGCCTCAGTGTGTGTTGTTCCCCTCCCTGTGTCCATGTTTTCTCATAGTTCAGCTGCCACTTATAAGTGAGAACATGCAGTGTTAGGTTTTCTGTTCCTGCATTAGTTGGCTGAGGATAATGGCTTCCAGCTCCATCGATGTCCCTGCAAAGGACACGATCTTGTTCCTTTTTATGGCTTCATAGCCTTTCATGGTGTATATGTACTGTATTTTCTTTATCCAGTCTATCATTGATGGGCATTTGGGTTGATTCCATGTCTTTGCTTTGTGAATAGTGCTGCAATTAACATACATATACATGTATATTGTAATAGAATATAAAATCCCTGTCAATTTAAGGGTTTGTTTAGGACACTAGTCTGTCATCTTGTCAGTTTGCTGGCTCTCTGAATAGTTGCTTTCCGTCTCCCCGACATCTCATCTCTTGACTTACTGGCTGTTGTGCAGTGAGCTGTACAAGCTTGGACTTGGCAACAAAGGTTCTTATACTATTTAATACCATACGGCAAAAACAACATGGAATATAACATGCACACATAAGAATAAAAATGGCTTATGTAAATGAGATATTCAATCTCATAAACACAGAACATAATAGTATACATTTCAAAGATAAGCAAATAGATTTCTTATGATAAATTCAATTACAAAGATCACATAAAGATATTCCTTAAAAAAAAAACAGATCAAAGAAGTCTGAAATAAAAGTCTTTTGGTGAGAAACAACCTTTTTTTTATCACCAGGTTTCATTTCCCTTTGCTGTTTTTAGAAAGAACAAGGACTTTTGTTACCGGTGGAGGGTGTCCAGGTTCTTGGCATTTTGGACAAAGAATTGGACAAAATGCACAAACAAAGCAAAGAAAGAATGAAGCAACAAAAGCAGAGATTTACTGACAATGGAAACACTCCACAGGCGTTTAAACATCCTCTAGAGGTTTCCATTGGTTACTTGGTGTACGCCCTATGTAACGGAAGAGACTAAAGTGAAGTTACGTAGTTATTTACTTGGGTATACCCTATGTAAATGAAGAGGATGAAGTAAAGTTACAAAGTCATTTCCTTGGTATATGCTCTATGTAAATAAAGAGGATATTTCCTGTCATAGCTGAAGTGTTTCCATTCTAGGAAGTCCTTGGGTTTCCTGCCTCCATGCCCATTCTCTTGCCTCACTTTGGCATCAGACCTGGGTTAGCCATACAGCCTGCTACTTACTAACTGTGTGACCTCAGTTACAATCTCTGATTCTAAGTTCTTTAATTTTTAATCTGTAAAGCAGGGATAATTATAACAAGATAAATTAGTTACTAAGGAATCATAAAATAATAAAAGAAAAGCACCTGCTATATGCTCAGTAAACCTTAGCTCCCTGCCTTTTCCCTTTTTTCCTCTTCTCCTTTCCTGGAGTTACTAACCACCTACAAATTATTCTTCTCAATATGCAAACACACTTCATCTTTGGTAATAAGAGGCCAGAAGTCCTTAAAATCCTGATTACATAGCCACTTTACTACAGTCCAGAGAACAAAGATGGAATAATGACCAAAGTATATATAATGTAGAAATGCCCAATTTCCTTAAGAAATGCCTTTTGGGTCTGGCGTGGTGGCTTATGCCTGTAATCCCAGGACTTTGGGAGGCCGAGGCGGGTGGATCACAAGGTCTGGAGTTCAAGACCAGCCTGACCAACATGGTGAAACTCCATCTCTACTAAAAATACAGCAATTAGCGGGGTGTGGTGGTGCATGCCTATAATCCCAGATACTTAGGAGGCTGAGGCAGGAGAATTGCTTGAACCTGGGAGGCAGAGGTTGCAGTGAGTGGAGATCATGCCATTGCACTCCAGCCTGGGTGACAGAGCGAGACTGTCTCAAAAAAAAAAAAAAAAATTGCCTTTTGTATTGAAAAGCCTAAGAAATATAGTAGAAAGTTCAGTAGGGTCCAAATATCCTCATTCTTATGGAACAATTTTTCCCCTAAATACGCAGTACACTTTATCCTCATCTGGCCTCCTGTATGCCAAGATCTCTGCCCAAGCAAGAAGCTTCCAGTCATCAATAATACTCTTGACCTCAACTATAATACTTGTCTTCTTAGACTGCAGAAGGTACTCCAAGTATTTATATTATCTCTTTCCCCCAAACGCCCACAAATTGAACTTTTTAATCATGCAATTCATAATTTCCAAATAAACTGCAATTAACCCCAAAGGATCTTCACAAGAATTTAATTTTTTAAAAAAATTAACAGCTTAAATAGACACCAGTGATAATAAATGATTCAAGTTATTGATAAAAATGATTGTTAAATACAAACACACACATACAAAATAATTCCCTTGAAGATTTTTCCCCTTCAAAAAGATTATCCAGAAGTCTCTTTAGTTTTAAATATTAGAACTCTTTTTATACAATTTAAAAACTGGTTCTTATTTTAGTTTACCCATCTTATTTTATAACAGCATAGAAAATTTTGACAATTACTTTTGAGGCAACTTTTACTACTTAATTAGTTAAATATTCTTTTGTTTTTCTCTTTGAGAAGGAGTCTCACTCTGTCGCCCAGGCTGGAGTGCAGTGGCTGGATCTCGGCTCACTGCAAGCTCCGCCTCCCGGGTTTATGCCATTCTCCTGCCTCAGCCTCCCTAGTAGCTGGGACTACAGGCATGTGCCACCACGCCCGGCTAATTGTTTGCTTTTTTTTTTAGTAGAGACGGGGTTTCACCGTGTTAGCCAGGATGGTCTCCATCTCCTGACCTCGTGATCTGCCCGCCTCGGCCTCCCAAAGTGCTGGGATTACAGGCGTGAGCCACCGCGCCTGGCCATTAAATATTCTTAAGCATTTTAAATGACTCAAGTTTTTAAGTAAGTTTAGTATATTCAATTTTCTTTTTAAGTATTTCAATTGCCTAAGTAGCTATTATGAAAAATAACATTTTGAAAGCTTTTTAAAGCAAATTTCCTGAGTCTAAAACAGTGCTCTGTTATATCTAATGGCCGCCTCACAAAATTCTTTTCCATTTCTGTGAGGTTAAGGTCTTGATTTCATTGTATGCTTTTTCTCTGTTTGAAATTTTGCTACATATTTTAGATGGACTGTTCAAAGTTTTTATAACTGCCTTGAAAACTGCCAACTTCTCTTCCCACCAACAAAGGGAAGTGGTTTTCCATATCCCTTAGAGATGGAGAAATGTGACTCTGAGATGACTACAAAGAAAGCAAAACAGGTAAATGTAGGCCTTCATTTCACAATTGTAACTTTCGAAGTTACAGCAAAGTTAGAAATCTGATGAAAAGATATTTGAAATTTGTAATGTTTAACTGCCATTACTAGCAAAAAGATACAGACCTGTGGTCAATATTTTAAATATCAAAGTTACTAGACTTGTGTTGTTGCTCCCTGGAGGATGAAAAAAACTGTTTTCTTCTCAAAGAGCCAGTACAAAAGCAGCGGAAATAAAGTGTCATTTGTAATTAAAATGAGGGCTTTGGCTGTTGTTTGAGGATAAAAATGCAGCACCCATCTTTTCAAAATAACTTAATTATGGAGATCATATGGGGGGTTAACTGAGTTTTGAGGACATTCTTTTAGAGAATAAAATGACAAGAATGAAATATTGCAGATGTACAGATAGTAAAAAAAAAAAATCCATGGAAACAAATTATCCATTGATAATCCAATTACCTGTTGCTTGCAGATCTCCAATCTGTTAATTACCTTGATTTATTTTGAATCAGCTTTCAGCCACTGAGATTCGTTACGGTCCATTCAAGTCTCTGCCACAATTCAACACTTTTTACTTTTTTTCTTAATATAAGGAACATTGCCTATCGTTTCTTCACTATTTTGATTTGTAGTGTGTTTTATTCCTGATAAACTGTTTTGGATTAGCATTATTTCTCTGTAATACAAAAATATGGTCAATTCCAACCTTAAATAGAACAGCAGCTACTGAATATATTAAGCTGGTATTGACATTGTTTATGGAATTTCATAACTGTATATGGTACTTTATAGAACACATAAAAACATAATCCATCTGACATCATGTTAGTATCCATTTCCATCTCAGCTCATATCACCCTGCTAATTTCCCTACATTGGTGAGGCGTTACACATTCATGCCATGACGCTAAGATAGTGCACAGAAAATAGGAATGAGTTGCCTTTTTATTATTATTATTTACACACACTATTTTTGCCATGATTGTATAAGCTGTAATTTTCACTATTCTCCTAGGGTAGCCAAAAAAGGCACCATAAGAATCTTGAAAACACCTCTGCAGTAAACCTAATAGATCTATATGGCTGGAATAAATAGTCACTGCCATGCTACTAAAGGGAAATGATATTGAAAGGAATATACTGTTCTCTGTAAACAAAGAGAAAATGACTACATAAACCTGTACTTCTTTTTTTCTCATCAGAGCTATGTATTTTGGCATGTCACAATTTTCCAATACTGATGTCCATGTTTCCTAGTTCAAATCTTCAAAAGGGAGACAAATGAATCTACCTTAACTACCGTGTTCAAAGCTGGCCCAATTAATGATGGCTCCGCCAGGAGACATATGGTACATGAAACTAATTTAGTCTAAACATGGCAACTATGCTCAGCCCTTCACTTGAGAGGGTAAAGTATTTCTAAAGAAGAGTGTATAAAAGGTAAGTGTGGCAAGATCTCTTCTACATTTCACCTTTGATATTGTCTAGCCTTTGTGTTTCTGTACATCCTTTGTCAGGGATGCTACTCCCACTATGTGCTTATAACCTTTTTTAATTCATACTTTTAAGGTGAAATCACATGTCCTCTCCCCCTGTTAAGCCCTCCCTGTTTCTCTAGTTTCTGTGCTGACCTCACAGTTTGTTCCACAAAACACAACTATCACAGCCGGAACAACATGGTTTTTTTAATGAGAATTTCAATTAAAAGAGATAGAATGGATCAATAAGCAAAACTCAATATATGCTGTCTACAAGTGAGAAACATTAAATACAAAACACAAAGATGTTGAAAGTAAATGGGTGGAAAAGATACACATGCAAAGTATGCAAAGAATGAGCTGGCTGAAATTAGAAAAGGTATTTTAGCTAACCTATGCCTTTTTTTGTGACTATAAAATTGGGATTATAATAATAATACCTAACTCATAGGCTGTGAGGAAACTAAAATGAGTAAACATTTTAAATGCTTAGGTCAGATCCATAGTTCTAAAAAAATGGTTAAGTATTTTTATTATTAGCTATAATACAGTTATAAATATTACAAGAAGAGATATGCAAAGAGCTATAAGAACACAAAAGATAATGGGATTAATTTCACCTGGTAGTTTACCGAAGGAATTCAAAGGAAAGGTAAAAGATACAGAAGATTGGAAGAAATTAGTTAAAAGTGAAGATACCATTTCAGGAAGTGAATATAACATAATGTATATCATGAAAGTACACAACATGCTTCAGGAACAGTATAGCTAGAGGATTAAACATATTTATATATATGTTATACAGTGAAATAGGGAATCGAGATTAAATTGGTCATGTAGCACGGTATCCTTAAGAATATGGGGGCTCAGTGTGGGGTAATATAAAGAGCATGAGATTTGGCTGAGGTTAGGAATTCTGCCCCATTACTCTTTAGCTGTGTGATACTGAGCGAATGATTTAATCTCTCTGTGCTTCAGTTTCTTTACTTGTCATGAAAATTAAATAACACATGAAAATCACAGAGTAATTGTAGAACAAACACATGAAGGCATCATTTAGAAAGTTGCCACATGCAAAAACTTGAGAAAGTCATCTAACCTCTCAGAGCCTCAAGTTCTGGGCAATTAAGTGTGGAAAAATGTTAATGTATATAAAGGTAATATTTGTAAGTTATAATGTTCCATATTTATACTAACAAAATTAAGGCATCATTTATTGAATACCTACTAAATGCTATATACAGTTCTAAATAAATATAAATATACATGTATTCATTTATTATTTATAATAATGAGGTGACTTAGATATTGTGAATTCTATTTTGACAAAGAAATTGATGCCAGGAAAAATTAGTAAATTTTTACAAGTTCACACAGTAATTAGAAAAAGTTTGTTTAATTTCCAATTCCATGCTCTTTATACCTATCTTAAAATAGTTGCTAAAATGATAGTTATTTATATTCTATTTACATATTTGTCTTTTGATTCTCTTAGTATGTTTAACCTGAGGTGTTGTTTTTCTAAATTGGAAGCAAAGAAACAACTAGGCACGTTATTATGAGTAAAGCTCTTAATATGAACTTAATAAAGTTCTTAATGTTGCATAGGAACATTTCTTATCTGTGATATACTTGCCTCTGTTTAAATAAGACTGCTTAAGATAAGCAAGATTTTGGGATCTTAAATTCAGTAGATATTAGAGATACTCATTTCCTGAGGACACTCTTTCCAGAATATATTAAAAGAAAATCCTAAAGTAATAATGTAATCTACCTAAAAATAATTTAGCATCTGGTTACAACTAAAAATGTCCATCTCCAGAGTTCTGTCAAACTGTGCCATCTGAGTCATTCATAGCCCATGTTGAGGACGATGATTTGTCATATATTAGGCAAAATCTCCAATTCTAGAAAGCCTTGAGATATATATCAGTGACATAAAGGTACAAACTTTGGTCAAAGAATGACAAGCTCACTATTATCTTAGGAGAGGCGTCAGCTATAATGATCACACAGGGAAAAATTTTTTCATAATTTTCTTTCATGATTGCATAGCCAGACTTTTTTTTTCTTTTTCAAGTGTAATTTTAAAAATCTTCAGAAATACCTCCGCATGCTAAGCAAAGACTACATCTACTTGTGAGAGGCCCAGTGAAAGTTAGTTATTAGAAATTTGACCTGCTGTGGTATATAAAGATCGGTTAAAAGAGTGTATACTGCAAAATTTTGACACAGAGAATTTTGTTTTGTTTCCCCAAATGTGTGCAATTACCAATGTCTCCAGGAATTAGCCTAAAAAAGTGTTTCCAGTGTCTCAAGCTTCATTCAGGCATCAAAAGAAAATGAAGTCCTTTGATTAAAAATACTATTTTCTTAGTTTACCAAGAATGTAAAAGTGGAAGCCAAGCATCTCCATGGTTTATCATCAGATTCATTTGTGTGTTTATTTATTTATTTAGTGGTAAGAACATTTAACATGCTATCTATCCTCTTAATTTTTAAGTGTACAATATACAATATTGTTAACTATAGGCACAATGCTGGACAGCAAATCTCTGGAATTTATTCATCTTGCATAACTGAAGATTCAAAATGGGAAGATGCTACTCATCTTTTTTTAAAGTCTTCTTAGTGACATGTTGGAAAGGAAGAGCTTTTTGGAATCTAAGGACTAGAATAAGCCTTTTATTACCTATTTAGTATTTAAAGATTTAAGTTCTTAATTGAGCTTTGCTTTCTTCTTTGTCAAATTTTGTTGGCTCTGTTGGAAGTATTACCTACGTTGATAAATGTAACACTTGAAGCAAAACTTGTTACATTAAACTTTTTTTAATATGACAAAATATGCATTTGTAGTATATAACATGATGTTTTGAAGTATATATACATTGTGGAATGACTAAATCTAGCTATTTAAGATATGTATTGTTTCACATAGCTATAATTTTTTTGGTAAGATACTTAATACCCATTCTCAGCATTTTTCAAGAATACAACATAATGCCATTGACAATAACCTCCATATTGTACAATAGATCTCTTGAACTTATTCCTCTTCTATAACTGAAATTTTAATCCTTTGAACATCTCCTTAACCCGAAATCCAACCATTCTAGTCTGGTAACCACCATTCTACTCTCATGAGATCAACTTTTTTAGATTCCACCTATGAGTGAGATCATGCAATATTTGTCTTTTTGTGCCTGGCTTATTCCACTTAACATACTGTTCTACAGGTCCCTTTATGTTATCGCAAAAGAAAGACTTCATTCCTTTTATGGCTGAATAGTATTCCGTGTGTGTATATATGTTTTCTTTATCCATTCATCCATTGATACTGATGGACACTTATGTAGATTCCATATCCTAAATTTGTAAATAATACAGCAGTAACAATGAGGGTGCAGATGTCTCAACATACTGATTTTGCTTCCTTTGGATATATACATATATCCAAAGGAATATATATATAGTAATATATATATACAGCAATATAAATATATATATATACACCCAGTTGTGGGATTGCTGGAAAATACGATAGTTTTATTTTTAAGGTCTTAAGACACCTCTATACTGTTTTCCATAATGAATGAACTAACTCACATTGCCACAAACAGTGTATAAGAGTTCCCTTTTCTCCAAGTCTATACCAACTCTTGTTATCTTTTTCTTTATATTTATCATGGGCATTCTAACAGGTGTGAGCAGGTATTTCATTGTGATTTGTTTTTTTTTGGAGACGGAGTCTCGCTCAGTCACCCAGGCTGGAGTGCAGTGGCACGATCTCAGCTCACTGCAAGCTCCGCCTCCCGGGTTCACACCATTCTCCTGCCTCAGCCTCATGAGTAGCTGGGACTACAGGCACCCGCCACTATGCCCGGCTAATTTTTTTGTATTTTTAGTAGTGACGGCGTTTCACCACGTTAGCCAGGATGGTCTCGATCTCCTGACCTCGTGATCCGCCTATCTCGGCCTCCCAAAGCGCTGGGATTACAGGCGTAAGCCACTGCGCATGGCCCTTCGTTGTGATTTCAATTTTAACTTCCCTGATGTTTAGTGATGTTGAGCATTTTTCCATCTAACTGTTGGGCATCTGTATGTCTTTTTTTGAGAAACGTTTATTCAGGTTATTTGTCCATTTTTAATCCAGTTATTTGGTTTTTGTGCTATTGTTTTATAGATTTTAGATATTAACCTTTCATCAGATGGATAGTGTACATGTATTTACTCCCTTTCTGTAGGCTGTCTCTTCACTCTGTTTACTTTGCTGTACAGAAGCTTTTTAGTTTGATAAAATCCCATTTGTCCACTTTTTCATGTGTTGCCTATTCTTTTGAGATCATGTCCAAAGTCATTACCCAGACCAATTTAATGGCTCTTCCCCATTGTTTTCTTCTAATGGTTTTATAGTTTTGGATTTTATATTTAAGTTTTAAATCCATTTTCAGTTGACTTTTTTGTATATGATGAAAAAGAAGGGCCTAATTTCATTCTTCTGCATGTGGATATTCAGGTTTCCTAGCACTATTTACTTATTATTTTTTTTCCTTCCAACTTTATTTTAGGTTCAGTAGGTATATATGTAGGTTCGTTACATGAGCACATTGCGTGTTGTGGGGATTTGACATACAGATAATTTTCTCATTCAGATAATCGCACATTACGTGTTAGGTAGTTTTTCAATCCTCACTCTCCTCCCAGACTCCAACCTCAAGTAGGCCTCTGTGTTCCCTTCTTTGTATCCTTATGTACTAATGTTCAGCTCGCACTTACAACTGAGAACATTTGGTATTTGGTTTTCTGTTCCTACGTTAATTTACTTAGGGTAATGGCTTCCAGGTCCATTCATGTTGCTGCAAAGAACACAATTTAATTGTTTTTCATGGCTGCATAGTATTCCGTGGTGTATATGTACCACATTTTCTTTATCCAGTCCACTGTTGATAAACATCTAGGTTGATTTCATGTCTTTGCTCTTGTGAATAGCCCAGAACCATTTATTGAAGAGAGAATTCTTTCTCCTTTGCTTGTTGTTGGCACCTTTGTTGAAAATTACTTGGGAATTAATGCTTCCATTTATGTCTGCTCTCTCTTTTCTCTTACATTGGGTTATAAGTCTATTTTTATATGAGTGTCATGTGGTTTTGATTATTACAACTTTGTAGTATATTCTGAAGTCAGGCAGTGAAATTCTTCAAGCTTTTTTTTTTAATTTTTGTGGGTAGGTATATACATTTATGACGGCTTTATTCATTTTGGTGAAGACAACTTTGAATATTTGGGATCTTTTGTGGTACCATACAAATTTGGGGAGTTTTTGTTTTTCCATTGCTGTGAAGAATGTCATTGGTATTTTCATAGGGTTGGCATTAATTCTGTAGGTTATTTTGAGTAGTATAGATATTGTAACAATATTAGTTCTTCCAATTCATTAGTGTGGCATGCCTTTCCATTGATTTGTGCCTTCTTCAATTTATTTCATCAAAGATTTATAGATTTCAGTGTAGAGATCTTTTACCTTAGTGGTTAAATTTATTCTGAAGTATTTTATTTATTTTGTAGCAATTTTATATAGTATTGTTTTCTTGATTTTTTTTTTTTTTAGATAGTTCACTGTTAGTGTATGGAAACGCTATTGATTTTTGTATGCTGATTTTGTATTTTGCATCTTTACTGAATTTGTTTAGTAGTTCTGTTTTTTGATGGAGTCTTTGGGGTTTTCTACATATAAGGTCATGTGGTCTGCAAACAAGCAATTTAACTTCTTCCTTTCTGATTTTCTTTCTTTCTCTTGCCTGATTACTCTGGCTAGAACTTTTAGTACTATGTTGAAGAGAAATGGCAGGAGTATGCATCTTTGCTTGTTCTGAATTTACAGGGAAGTTTTTCAACTTTTTCATGTTGAATACGATATTAGCTGTGGGTCTGTCATATATGGCTTTTATTGTGTTGAGGGACATTCATATATCAAATTTGTAGAGAGTTTTTATCATGAAAGAATGTTAGATCTTATTGAATGATTTTTCCTGAATCTCTTGAGATGATCATATGGATTTGGTCCTTCATTCTGTAATTGTGATGTATCTCGATTATTGATCTACATATGTTGTACCATCTTTACACATTTGTGGGATGAATCTCACTTTATGATGGTGAATGATCTTTTTTTAATGTGCTGTTTAATTTGATCTGCTACTATTTTGTTGAAGATTTTTGCACCTCTGTTCATCAGGCATATTGGCCTGTAGTTTTTTGCATTTTTACTTCATTTTTGTGTGTGTGGTACTGTTCTTTTCGGGCTTTGATATAAGTGTAATGCTGGCCTCCTAAAATGAGGTTGGGAGTAATCTGTCCTCCTCAATTTTGTGAAAGTTTTTTAGAAGTATTGGTATTAGAATTTCTTTAAATGTTTGGTAACACTCAGCAGTGAAGCTATCTGGCCTTGCATTTTTCTTTGATGGGAGACTTAATTATGATTCAATCTCCTCACTAATTATTGGCCTGTTCAGGTTTTCATTTTCTACATAATTTAATCTTATCAATAAATGTAACTATTTCTCCTAGGCAATCCAAACTGTTGATGCTACACTTTTTAATTTTTCAGTATAATATATTCCATACTTGTATAAATACTGAGTATACTTGTATAAATGCTTGTATAAATCCATACTTGTATAAATGCTCTTCCCACAGGATGTTCAAGTCAGACAGAACTTACTATAATGGCATTTTTTTTTTTCCCTAAACTATGTCTTCACATCCTATGCTCATTCAGTTATCAAGCTGGTACTTCATGCCAAACAATTAGTTATACAGTCATGTAGTTTGGCTATTTGTCTTTGCCCAAATCTAATGTTGAATTATAATCCCCAGTCCTGGAGGTGGGGCCTAGTGGAAGGTGTTTGGATCATGGGTGGATCCCTCATGGCTTGGTGCTGTCTTAATGATAGTGAGTTCTCATTAGATCTGGTCATTTAAAAGTGTGTGGCACCTCCCCACTATCCTCGTCATTCTCTCTCACTCCTGCTTTTGCCATGTGAAGTCCCTCCTCCTGCTTCACCTTCTGCCATAAGTAAAAGCTTCTTGAGGGCTTCCCTGAAGCAGATGCTGGTGCCATGCTTCCTGTAAAGCTGCAGAATCAGGTTCTTTATAAATTGCCCAATCTCAGGTATTTCTTTTTCTTTTTCTTTGGTTTTGAGAAGGAGTCAGTTCTGTCACCCAGGATGGAGTGCAGTGGCACGATCTCGGCTCACAGCAACCTCCACCTCCCGGGTTCAAGCAATTCTCCTGCCTCAGCCTCCTGAGTAGCTGAGATTACAGGCACACGCCTCCACACCCAGCTAATTTTTGTATTTTTAGTAGAGAAGGGTTTTCACGGTGTTGGTCTGGCTGGTCTTGAACTCCTGACCTCGTGATCCACCCACCTTGGCCTACCAAAATGCTGGGATTACAGGCATGAGCCACTGTACACAGCCATCAGGTATTTCTTCATAGCAGTGTAAGATTGGGCTAACAAAAAAAACAGTACCCCGGCGGGAGGTTCCAAGATGGCTGAATAGGAACAGCTCCAGTCTACAGCTCTCAGCCTGAGCAACGCAGAAGACGGGTGATTTCTGCATTTCCAACTGAGGTACCGGGTTCATCTCACTGGGGCTTGTCGGACAGTGGGTGCAGGACACTGGGTGCAACCCACAGAGCATGAGCCAAGGCAGGGTGAGGCAGCGCCTCACCTGGGAAGTGCAAGGGGTTGGGGAATTCCCTTTCCAAGCCAAGGAAAGCCATGACAGACAGCATCTGGAAAATCGGATCACTCCCACCCTAATACTGCACTTACTGCACTTTTCCAATGGTCTTAGCAAATGGCACAACAGGAGATTATATCTCACGCCTGGCTCAAAGGGTCCCATGCCCATGGAGCCTTGCTTACTCCTAGAACAGCAGTCTGAGATCGAACTGCAAGGTGGCAGTGAGGCTGGGGAAGGGGCATCTGCCATTACTGAGATTTGAGTAGGTAAACAAAGCGGCCTGGAAGCACAAAATGGGAGAAGCCCACCACAGCTCAAGAAGGCCTGCCTGCCTCTGTAGACTCCACCTCTGGGGGCAGGGCATAGCTGAACAAAAGGCAGTAGAAACTTCTGCAGATTTAAGTGTCCCTGTCTGGCAGCTTTGAAGAGAGTAGTGGTTCTCCCAGCACGGAGTTTGAGATCTAAGAATGGATAGACTGCCTCCTCAAGTGGGTCTCTGACCCCTGAGTAGCCTAACTGGGAGGCACCTCCCAGTAAGGGCCAAATAACACCTCATACGGCCGGGTGTCCCTCTGAGACAAAGCTTCCAGAAGAACAATCAGGCAGCATTTGCTGTTCTGCAATATTTGCTGTTCTGCAATATTGGCCATTCTGCAATATTTGCTGTTCTGCAGCCTCTGCTGGTGATACCCAGGCAAACAGGGTCTGGAGTGGACCTCCAGCAAACTCCAACAGACCTGAAGCTGAGGGGCCTGACTGTTAGAAGGAAAACTAACAAACAGAAAGGACATCCACACCAAAACCCCATCTGTATGTCACCATCATCAAAGACAAAATGTAGATAAAACCACAAAGATGGGGAGAAACAAGAGCACAAAACCTGAAAATTCTAAAAGTCAGAGCAACTCTTCTCCAAAGGAACACAGCACCTTGCCAGCAATGGAACAAAGCTGGATGGAGAATGACCTTGATGAGTTCAGAGAAGAAGGCTTCAGATGATGGGTAATAACAAACTTCTCCGAGCTAACGGAGGATATTCGAACCCATCGCAAAGCAGCTAAAAACCTTGAAAAAAGATTAGACAGATGGCCAACTAGAATAAACAGTGTGGAGAAGACCTTAAATGACCTGATGGAACTGAAAACCATGGCATGAGAACTACGTGGCATGTGCACAAGATTCAGTACCCGATTTGATGAACTAGAAGAAAGGGTATCAGTGACTGAAGATCAAATGAATGAAATGAAGTGACAAGAGAAGTTTAGAGAAACAAGAATAAAAAGAAATGAACAAAGCCTCCAAAAAATATGGGAATATATGAAAAGACCAAATCTACATCTGATTGGTGTACCTGAAAGTGACGAGGAGAATGAAAGCAAGTTGGAAAACATTCTTCAGTATATTATCTAGGAGAACTTCCCCAACCCGGCAAGGCAGGCCAACATTCAAATTCAGGAAATACAGAGAATGCCACAAAGATACTCCTCGAGAAGAGCAACTCCAAGACACATAATTGTCAGATTCACCAAAGTTGAAATGAAGGAAAAAATGTTCAGGGCAACCAGAGAGAAAGGTCGGGTTACCCACAAAGGGAAGCCCATCAGACTAACAGCTGATCTCTCGGCAGAAACTCTACAAGCCAGAAGAGAGTGGGGGCCAATATTCAACATTCTTAAAGAAAAGAATTTTCAACCCAGAATTTCATATCCAGCCAAACTAATCTTCATAAGTGAAGGAGAAATGAAATCCCTTACAGACAAGCAAATGCTGAGAGATTTTGTCACCACCAGGCCTGCCTTAACAAGAGCTCCCGAAGGAAGCACTAAACATGGAAAGGAACAACTGGTACCAGCTACTGCAAAAACATGCCAAATTGTAAAGACCATTGATACTAGGAAGAAACTGCATCAACTAATGACCAAAATAACCAGCTAACATCATAAAGACAGGATCAAATTCACATATAACAATATTAACCTTAAATGTAAATGGGCTAAATGCTCCAATTAAAAGACACAGACTGGCAAATTGGATAAAGAGTCAAGAACCACCAGTGTGCTGTATTCAGGAAACCCATCTCAAGTACAGAGACAGACAAAGGCTGAAAATAAAGGGATGGAGGAAGATCTACCAAAAAAATGGAAACCAAAAAAAAGCAGGGGTTGTGATCCCTGTCTCTGATAAAACAGACTTTAAACCAACAAAGATCAGAAGAGAGAAAGAGACAAAGAAGGCCATTACATAATGGTAAAGGGATCAATTCAACAAGAAGAGCTAACTATCCTAAATATATATGCACCCAATACAGGAGCACCCAGATTCATAAAGCAAGTCCTTAGAGACCTACAAAGAGACTTAGACTCCCACACAATAATAATGGGAGATTTTAACATCCCACTGTCAACATTAGACAGATCAGTGAGACAGAAAGTTAACAAGGATATCCAGGAATTGAACTCAGCTCTGCACCAAGCAGACCTAATAGACATCTACAGAATTCTCCACCCGAAATCAACAGAATACACATTCTTTTCAGCACCACACCACACCTATTCCAAAATTGACCACATAGTTGGAAGTAAAGCACTCCTCAGCATATGTAAAAGAACAGAAATTATAATCAACTGTCTCTCAGACCACAGTGCAATCAAACTAGAACTCACGATTAATAAACTCACTCAAAACCGCTCAACTACATGGAAACTGAACAACCTGCTCCTGAATGACTACTGGGTATATAAAAAAATGAAGGCAGAAATAAAGATGTTCTTTGAAACCAATGAGAACAAAGACACAACATACCAGAATCTCTGGGACACATTTAAAGCAGTGTGTAGAGGGAAATTTATAGCACTAAATGCCCACAAGAGAAAGCAGGAAAGATCTAAAATTGACACCCTAACATCACAATTAAAAGAACTAGAAAAGCAAGAGCAAACACATTCAAAAGCTAGAAGAAGGCAAGAAATAACTAAGATCAGGGCAGAACTGAAGGAGATAGAGACACAAAAAACCCTTCAAAAAATCATTGAATGCAGGATCTGGTTTTTTGAAAACATCAACAAAATTGATAGACTGCTAGCAAGACTAACAAAGAAGAAAAGAGAGAAGAATCAAATAGATGCAATAAAAAATGATAAAGTGGATATGACTACCAATCCCACAGAAATACAAACTACCATCAGAGAATACTATAAACACCTCTATGCAAAAAAACCAGAAAATCTAGAAGAAATGGATAAATTCCTGGACACATACACCCTCCCAAGACTAAAACAGGAAGAAGCTGAATCCCTGAATAAACCAATAACAGGCTCTGAAATTGAGGCAGTAACTGATAGTCTACCAACCAAAAAAAGTCCAGGACCAGGCGGATTCACAGCTGAATTCTACCAGAGGTACAAAGAGGAGCTGGAACCATTCCTCCTGAAACTATTCCAATCAGTAGAAAAAGAGGGAATCCTCCCTAACTCATTTTATGAGGCCAGAATCATCCTGATACCAAAGCCGGGCAGAGACACAACAAAAAAAGAGAATTTTAGACCAATATCCTTTATGAACATCGATGCAAAAATCCCCAATCAAATACTGGTAAACCGAATCCAACAGCACATCAAAAAGCTTATCCATCATGATCAAGTGGGTTTCATCCCTAGAATGCAAGGCTGGTTCAACATATGCAAATCAATAAACGTAATTCAGGATATAGACGGAACCAAAGACAAAAACCACATGATTATCTCAATAGATGCAGAAAAGGTCTTCAACAAAATTCAACAGTCCTTCATGCTAAAAACTCTCAATAAACTAGGTATTGATGGGACATATCTCAAAATAATAAGAGCTATTTATGACAAACCCACAGCCAATATCATACTGAATGGGCAAAAACTGGAAGCATTCCCTTTGAAAACTGGCACAAGACAGGGATGCTCTCTCTCACCACTCCAATTCAACATAGTGTTGGAAGTTCTGGCCAGGGCAATCAGGCAGGAGAAGGAAATAAAGGGTATTCAATTAGGAAGAGAGGAGGTCAAATTGACCCTGTTTGCAGATGACATGATTGCATATTTAGAAAACCCCATCAACTCAGCCCAAAATCTCCTTAAGCTGATCAGCAACTTCAGCAAAGTCTCAGGATACAAAATCAATGTGCAAAAATCACAAGCATTCCTTTACACCAATAACAGACAAACAGAGAGCCAAATCATGAATGAACTCCCATTCACAATTGCTTCAAAGAGTATAAAGTACCTAGGAATCCAACTTACAAGGGATGTGAAGGACCTCTTCAAGGAGAACTACAAACCACTGCTCAACAAAACAAAAGAGGATACAAACAAATGGAAGAACATTCCATGCTCATGGATAGGAAGAATCAATATCATAAAAATGGCCATGCTGCCCAAGGTAATTTATAGATTCAATGCCATCCCCATCAAGCTACCAATGACTTTCTTCACAGAATTGGAAAAAAATACTTTAAAGTTCATATGGAACCAAAAAAGAGCCCACATTGCCAAGACAATCCTCAGGAAAAAGAACAAAGCTGGAGGCATAATGCTACCTGACTTCAAACTATACTACAAGGCTACAGTAACCAAAACAGAGATACAGACCAATGGAACAGAACAGAGCTCTCAGAAATAATACCACACATCTACAACTATCTGATCTTTGACAAACCTGACAAAAACAAGAAATGGGGAAAGGATTCCCTATTTAATAAATGGTGCTGGGAAAACTGGCTAGCCATATGTAGAAAGCTGAAACTGGATCCCTTCCTTACACCTTATACAAATATTAATTCAAGATAGATTAAAGACTTCAATGTTAGACCTAAAACCATAAAAACCCTAGAAGAAAACCTAGGCAATACCATTCAGAACATAGGCATGGGAAAGGACTTTGTGTCTAAAACACCAAAAGCAATGGCAACAAAAGCCAAAATTGACAAATGGGATCTAATTAAACTAAAGAGCTTCTGCACAGCAAAAGAAACTACCATCAGAGTGAACAGGTAACCTACAGAATGGGAGAAAATGTTTGCAATCTACTCATCTGACAAAGGGCTAATACCCAGAATCTACAAAAAACTTAAACAAATTTACAAGAAAAAAATCAAACAACCCCATCAAAAAGTGGGAGAAGGATATAAAGAGACACTTCTCAAAAGAAGACATTTATGCAGCCAAAAGACACATCAAAAAATGCTTATCATCACTGGTTGTCAGAGCAATGCAAATCAAAACCACAATGAGATACCATCTCACACCAGTTAGAATGGCGATCATTAAAAAGTCAGGAAACAACAGGTGCTGGAGAGAATGTGGAGAAATAGGGACACTTTTACACTGTTGGTGGGACTGTAAACTAGTTCAACCATTGTGGAAGGCAGTGTGGTGATTCCTCAGGGATCTAGAACTAGAAATACCATTTGACCCAGCCATCCCATCACTGGGTATATACCCAAAGGATTATAAATCATGCTGCTATAAAGACACATGCACACGTATGTTTATTGCGGCACTATTCACAATAGCAAAGACTTGGAACTGACCCAAATGTCCATCAATGATAGACTGGATTAAGAAAATGTGGCACATATACACGATGGAATACTATGCAGCCATAAAAAAGGATGAGTTCATGTCCTTTGTAGGGACATGGATGAAGCTGGAAACCATCATTCTGAGCAAACTGTCGCAAGGACAGAAAACCAAACACCGCATGTTCTCACTCATAGGTGGGAATTGAACAATGAGAACACTTGGACACAGGATGGGGAATATCACACACTGAGGCCTGTGGTGGGGTGGGGGGAGGTGGGAGGGATAGCATTAGGAGATATATCTAATGTAAATGACAAGTTAATTGGTGCAGCACACCAACATGGCACATGTATACATATGTAACAAACCTGCATGTTGTCCCCATGTACCCTAGAACTTGTAGTATAATAATAATAAAAAAGAAATAGTCCCCCCCATGGAGTAATGCCATAAAGATACCTGTAAATGTGGAACTGAGAGGAGGTGCCAGCTGGGCTTCCTGGGTCAAGTAGGGGCTCAGAAAGCTGTGAAACTCACTCATTTCCTGCATCAGGACTTACTTCAGTCCTGGATGAATAATATTGCAGATATATGCTTAAAATATTCCTAACACCAGGATTTGTGCATGTGTTGTCTTCCCCAGGAAAGCTATCAACAGTGAAAATTTTGCTGTAAGTTTCCCCTTGTACTCTCTCCCTCTCTCCCTTCCCCCACCCCTGAAACTAAAGTAAAAGGAATGTTAACCAACTGTTTTTCTGTGATCAGCGGACCTTATCTATACTCCCAATTCCAATTCCTTGTAAACATACTTTATGAAGTCCTGTAAGATCCTGTCTCCTTTGCCATGCTGCTGCAAGGTCATAAAGTAGATAAAACCTAAGTTGCAATTCCGGTTTTCCTGAAAATCTAGGACATGCCACAAAATAATTTACTGCTTTTGTTTCTGGCTCTCGCCACAAGTATTTCCTGCCTTAAAGAGTTAAAAAGGCAATCGTATACTCTAACTCTGGCTACCCGTTCGGGGACCCTTTCCAAGCTGTGGAAGCTTTGTGCTTTCACTCTGCTCAATAAAGCCTACAACTTTTTCTCTCTCTCGGTCCATGTCTCTATCACTTGCTGCAGTCAGCCACCACACCAATTCTTTGGCGTGGCTAAGCAAGAACTTTAGGTGTTACAGAACCAACCCTGGAACTGGATAATGGGCAGAAATTGGAAGAGTTTGAAGGGCTCAGAAGAAAACAGGAAGAAGAGGGAAGGTTTGAAATTTCTTAGAGACTGGTGAAATGGTTGTGACCAAAATGTTGATAGTGATATGAACAATGAAGTCCAGGCTGCTGAGGTCTCAGATAGAAATGAGGAACTTATTGGGAACTAGAGTAAAGGATAGACCTATTATGCCTTAACAAAGAACTTGGCTGCATTGTGTTCATGCCCTAAGGATCTATGGAAGTTTGAACTTGAGAGTGATTATTTATGGTATCTGGCAGAAAAAATTTCTGAGCAGCAAAGTGTTCAAGTGGTAACATAGTTGCTTCTAACAGCCTACGCTCAGATGCAGGAGAAAAGAAAATAGTTGGGACTTACATTTAAAAGACAAACAGAGTGGCTGGGTGCGGTGGCTTACACTTGTAATCCCAGCATTTTGGGAGGCTGAGGCGGGTGGATCACCTGAGGTCAGGAGTTCGAGACCAGCCTGGTCAACATGGTGAAACCTCGTCTCTACTAAAAATACAAAAATTAGCCAGGCATGGTGGTACATGTCTGTAATCCCAGCTACTTGGAAGGCTGAGGCAGGAGGAATGCTTGAACCCAGGAGAGGGAGGTTGCAGTGAGCTGAGATCATACCACTACACTCCAGCCTGGGCACCAGAGCGAGACTCCATCTCTAAAACAAAATAAAATAAAATAAAAAAGGGAAACAGAACATAAAAGCTTGAAAAATTTCCAGCCTAGCCATGTGATAAAGAAAGAAAAAGCTTTTTTGGGAGAGGAATTAAAGCAGGTTGTAGAGCAACCACTTGCCAGAGATATTTGAATCACTAAAAGGGAACCAAGTGTTAAATATCAAAACAATGGGGAAAAGGCCTTGAAGGCATTTCAGAGAACTTTGTGGCAGCCCCTCCCATCACAGGCCCAGAGAAAAGAATAATTTTGGGGCCAGGCCTAAGGCCCTGCTGCCCTGTGCAGCCTCAGGGCACTGCTTCCCATATTCTGGCCACTCCAACTCCAGCTAGGGCTCAAATGGGGCCCAGGTACTGCTAGAGCTGCCGCTTTGGAGAATACAAGCCATAAGCCTTGGTGGTTTCTACATGGTGTAAAGCCTGTGGGTACAGAGTGCAAAAGTTAGGAAGCTTGGCCTCTGCCTAGGTTTCAGAAGATGTTTGGAAAAGCCTGGATGCCCAGACAGAAGCCTGCTTCAGGGACGGAGCCATTACAGAGAACCCTGACTAGGGCATTGCCAAGGGGAAATGTGGGGATGGAGCCCCCACACAGAGAATCCATTGGGGTACTGCCTAGCGGAGCTGGAAGAAGGGGGTCACCACCCTCCAGATCTGAGAATGGTAGATTCACCAGCAGCTTGCACCCTGTGCCTGGAAAAGCAGCAGACACTCAACAACCTGTGAGAGCAGCCTTGGGAGCTGAACCCTGCAAAGCCACAGAGACAGATCTGCCCAAGGTCTAGGGAGGCCAACCCTCATACCAGTGTGCTTTGGATGTGGGAAATAGAGTTAAATGAGACTAGTTTTGAGCTTTAATATTCAATGACTGCCCTGTTAGGTTTTGGGTTTGAATGGGGCCTGTAACCCCTTTCTTTTGGTCAATCTCTCCCTTTTGAAATGGGAATGCTTACCCAATACTTATAGCTTCCATTGTATCTTGGAAGTAACCAACTTGTTTTTGATTTTACAGGCGTGTAGGTGGAAGGGACTTGCCTTGTCTCAGATGAGACTTTAGACTTTGGACTTTAGAGTTAACACTAGAATGAGTTAAGACTTTGGAGAGTGTTGGGAAGACAGGATTGTATCTTGCAATGTGAGGACATGAGATTTGGGTGGGGCCAGGGGCAGAATGACATAATTTGAATATTTGTCTCAAATGTCATATTGAAATGTAATCCCCAATGTTGGAGGTGGGTCCTGGTGGGAAGGGTTTGGATCGTGGGAGCAGATCCCCCATGAATGGCTTGGGCCATCTCCTTGGTGATAAGTGAGCTCTCGTTCTGAGTTTACATGAAATCTGGTCATTTAAGAACATGGGGCACCTCCCCCTGCAATCTCTCTTCTTGTTCCTGCTTTTACCATGTGAAGTGCCTGCTTCTCCCTTGCCTCCTGCCATGACTAGAAGCTTCCTGAGGCCTCCCCAGAAGCAGATGCCACTGTGCTTTCCTAAAAGTTTACAAAACCATGAGCCAATTAAACCTCCTCTCTTATAAATCACCAGTCTCAGTTCTTATAGCAATATAAAATGGAATAATACATAAAATAAAATATATCCTAAGAATGAACCTATCACATACAGTATAACAAATTATCATTACTTCTTACCTCTACCTCCTTAAATAGCTGCTTAACCCCAAGAAATTTGGTGCATTTATTTTCCAATAATTGGTTAATATACAACCTTCAGTGGAGAAGCTACCAGTTTTCCTGATTTACTATTGAACTATTAGGCTAGTATGTGCAGTTTCCTAATATTTCAACTTAAATTGAATGGCAAAGTAAGTAGTAATTTATAATTGAATTTTAGCTACAGTAAAACCATAGTACAAATCCAGGTCATGAACTATAGAATATAATTAACTAATAAATGTATAAATGATCATATTTAGGTAAATTGAGGTAAATCAAATGCTAAAAAATTGGGCTGTCCTTTTTTTTTTTCCAAAAAAACCTATATCTAGTTCACTTATACTAAGTTTTTGACTAATGCATCACCGCATTTCACATCTTTATCTCTGCAATTCATAAAATGAAAGTCCATTTATAGCACAAAATAATGGGTACATTTTACCTCTAATTAAGATTATTCATCAATTCACACCTACCAAAAGTTCTACTGTGCTTTTAATTCATTACCACTTACTTTAATATAGCCAGTTTAATGCCAGAAATTATGCCATCATAAGCACAGCTATATTGAAATAATTTGTTCTTAAAGAAAAAAGTCAGAACATTTTTTACATATTTGGAAACTTGTATAGTGTATGGTTAATAATACACATGTATAAAAACATATTCTCCATCTAACATTAAATCTCAGTTGTTGTCATTATGCAATCCAATGAGTCTTAGAAAATATGTTTGCTGGCCAGGCGCAGTGGCTCACGCCTATAATCCCAGCACTTTGAAGGGCCAAGGTGGGTGGATCACCTGAGGTCAGGAGTTCGAGACCAGCCTGGCCAACATGATGAAACCCCATCTCTACCAAAAACAAAACAAAACAAAAATTAGCCAGGCGTAGTGGTGGGTGCCTGTAATCCGAGCTACTTGGGAGGCTGAGGCAGGAGAATTGCTTTAACCCAGGAGGCAGAGGTTGCAATAAGCTGAGATGGCGCCATTGCACTCCAGCCTGGGTAACAAGAGTGAGACTCGGTCTCAAAAAAAAAGAAAAAAAAAAGAAAGAAAGAAGAGAAAATATGTTTACCTTCATTCTGAAAGGAAATTTGTTTCAGCTTCAATATTCTATTGATAGGGGCATAATAAATAGCTGATATATTTCAATGCTCCAAAATACAGAAATAGAATTCTCTATTGATTTTTTTTATCCTAAGTTTTATCCCCTTCCAAAATGACAAAATAATTTGTACATGCATTAGCCTTCCAGTCTTATTGAAGAATAAGTAAAAATGAGCATGGGACCAACCTCTCAACCTCTTCAGAAGGTAATTTCTTAAATGGATATTCTCTGAAGGTGTGCTTACTAGGTAAAATGCTTCTTGATTTAGACTAAAATTCTCTGGCAATATTGGGAGGAAGGTCATCAGAAAGTGATGCCTGCTTGTCTCCAACCCAACTTAGTTCACAATTTAGTTTCATTAGCATCCTGTAATGGAGCTTCTCTAAATCCTGCTGTTTGTGGATTAGGGCAAATTACAATGAACTTTCAGCCTAAGTAGTAGTTCAGAGATCCTTTCCCATCTCAAGAAAAGGTTAGCACAATTTCCTGTAAGTCTAACAATATTATATACACTGTGAATTATTCCTACAAGATGACTAACATATAATTGTCACAGCATATGTTTTATGCAAAAAGGACTTTGGAACAGCTGGGCACGGTGGCTCACGCCTGTAATCCCAGCACTTTGGGAGGCTGAGGCAGGCGGATCATGGGGTCAGTATATCGAGACCATCCTGGCCAACATGGTGAAACTCTGTCTCTATTAAAAATACAAAAATTAGCTGGGCATGGTGGCATGCGCCTGTAGTCCCAGCTACTTGGGAAGCTGAGGCAGGAGAATCACTTGAACCTGGGAAGCAGAGGCTGCAGTGAGCCAAGATTGTGCCACCGCACTCCAGCCTAGGCAACAGAGCGAGACTCATCTCAAAAAAAAAAAAAGGACTTTGAAAAAAGTTGTTTTATGCATTCAATGACATTAAAATAAAAATTGAGAGAGTACCTGTGTATAAGTGTGTGCTTGTACTTGTGGGTATGTAGTTGGAGGAGGTCACATACTTCCAGAAACATATAAACACATTTAGACATATTGATAAGTATTTCCTTTAAAAAACTATATACAATGATATATATACATATGTACATATATACAAGGGTGTATATAATTTCAATAAGAGGACTGCCTTTGGAAGTTCAGAACAGATTTGATTTCTTCCTCAAGGACAGTAGAAGCGCAGGTCTCTCTGAACATTCAAACCTTAGAACATCTCTGAACATTCAAACTTCATTTGAATATAGCTGGCTGCTAAAGTTTGAAAGTGCCCTTGATCTTCTACTATGAAAATCAAGGATGTATAGATGAATATATACATGTATCATATGTGTTTAATGTGGTTGTCATAGGAGTGGAAGGTTATGTCTATATACATGTATATGTATGTATACAATGACATATATTACACATGTACATATCTACATCCTTGATCCTCATAGTAGAATAAGAAATTGGAGAAAGAAACAAGGGGTAGCTTGGTCTTGAGATGAACCTTTAAGGCTGTGCAGAAGTTTTATAGGCAATGACGAGCATAAGAATCAGGATTCTAAAAATAGCCCTTCAAGATTTCCATCCTCTTGTTACTCAATCAATTACTAAACAAGGTGTTGCAGTGAAGGAATTTTACAGGTGTAATTGAAATCCGTCAGTTGACCTTAAACTACTGGAGATTATTTGAATATAGCTGGCTGCTAAAGTTTGAATATTCCCTCCAAAACTTACGTTGAAATGTAATTGCCATTATGACTGTATTAGGAAGTGGGACTATTAAAAGGTGATTAAGCCATGAAGACTCCATCCTCATGAATGAATTAATGTGGTTGTCATTGGAAGTGGGATGCTATAAAAGCGAGTTCAGTTCTGTCTCTCACTCTTGCACTCCCTTGCCCTTCCACCTTCCACCATGGCATAATAAAGCCCAAAGGACCACACCAGACACTGGTACCATGTTCTTAGGCTTCTCAGATTCCAGAACTATGAGCCAAATAAACTTCTATTGTTTATGAATTAACCAGCCTCAGGTATTCTGTTATAGTGGCAAAAAAATGGACTAAGACACTGATGCAATGAAGTGACATCTTTACAAGCCGAATTTTCTTTTGCTGAAGGCAGAAAAAGCCAGAGAGATATGCACATCCATTGTCTTTGTGGAAGAAATCAAATATATATGTTCTAAAATTTCAAGGGGCAGCCTACAAAAGCTGAGAGCAGCCCCCACCAACAGACAGCAAGAAAACAGCTAACAGCTGCAAGGTAATGAAATATTTCAACAATCAGTGAGTTTGGAAGAGGATCCAGACCCTCAGATGAGGATTGCAGCCCTGGCAACACTTTTATTCAGCCAGTCTCTGAGACCTAAACAGAGAATCCACATAACCATGACCAGACTCTTGACCCATGGAAAACATGAGATAATAAATGTGTTGTTTTAACATGCTGAGTTTGTAGTGATCTGTTATGGTATCAATAGAAAACTAATACAAAAAAATATGAAAATAGCACAGAGATAACAGTAGTCTGATATAAATATTGGTTTTCTAGGAATTAAGCTATAGTAATGGTAAAGAGTGGTAGTTAACTTTAGTTGAATGAGATAGCCACTAACAGAATGTCAGGCTGAGTTTAGACTCCATCTGCTAGAGAATCAATATAGCATGGGAGTCTCATGGTGACAAGATCTATTTTATGCTCATATGTAGTGTGGCTTAAGAGTACAAGAGAGTGCAGAACGGAAGCCCCTCAGAGAGACGCAAAGAAAGAGGCAAAAGAGGAATAGAGTAGATGAGTAGAAGACGTTACCTATTAGAAAAGGTACTCTGATGGGCCCGAGAAACATTATGGCCAATCATTTACTAGAGAAAGAAAGTTTGGAATATAGGGCTGTGGGAATGAAAAGTAGACCAATCTGAAGGAGTGAGGAGAAAATTAACAGATTCTTTGAAAATATTTGGACACTCTGTGTGACTGAGGGGATAAAAGGTATTAAAGAAAAAAGATTAGAATGTTAGAAAGTGAAGGAAAGAAAAAGTGTAGGAATTCTAAGAGAAATTTATCAAAAGGATCCCCCTTTGAAAGGTGAAGTTCAGGCCGGGCGCGGTGGCTCATGCCTGTAATCCCAGCACTTTGGGAGGCCGAGGTCGGTGGATCACAAGGTCAGGAGTTCAAGACCAGCTTGACCAAGATGGTGAAACCCCGTCTCTACTAAAAAGAACCTACAAAAATTAGCCAGGCGCGGTGGCAGGTGCCGGTAATCCCAGCTACTCGGGAAGCTGCGGCAGGAGAATCGATTGAACCCGGGCAGCAGAGGTTGCAGTGAGCCGAGATGGCACCTCTGCACTCCAGCCTGGGCGACAGAGAGAGACCCTGTCTCAAAAAAAAAAAAAAAAGAAAGAAAGAAAGAAAGGTGAAGTTCTGCTGGGCACTGTGGCTGTGGCTCATGGCTGTAATCCCAGCGCTTTGGGAGGCCAAGGTGGGTGGATCACTTGAGGTCAGGAGTTCGACACCAGCCTGGTCAACATGGTGAAACCCCGTCTCTACTAAAAATACAAAGTTAGTCGGGCATGGTGGCCTGTGCCTGTAGTCCCAGCTACTCGGGAGGCTGAGGCAGGAGAATCGTGTGAATGCAGGAGGTGGAGGTTGCAGTGAGCAGAGATTGTGCCACTGCAATCCGGCCTGGGTGACACAGCAAAACTCTGTCTCCAACAAAACAGAAAGATGAAGTTTAAGTGATGGAAGTTATACCACATGATAAGCTTTGCAACCCATGGTTACTATAGTTTTATAAAAGTATGTTCATGTAGAAGTGAACAGAGGTTATAACCATTGGTTAAAATTTAGAATTTTATGTCAATTGATATACAATTTAAAATTTTTTGAAAATATATCAGATACTTAGATTGTCAAGGGAATGGTAAGGACAATTAATGTGTTCCTTTGAAATGACTGTGGGTCATGCAATTAGAGATCACTTTTATTCAATTGAGAGAAAACGATCTGGAGTGCAAAAGAGTGATGAAGATAGTAGATGTACTGAATCCATGACAATAACTAAACTTTTAAAACATCATAGCAGCAGAAAAAGAAAGGTTTGCTTATATGTACAGAAAAGTGTCAGCCAGTCTCTGAGACCTAAACAGAGAATCCACCTGACCGTGACCAGACTCTTGACCCATGGAAAACATGAGATAAATGTGTTGTTTTAAGCTGCTGAGTTTGTAGTGATCTGTTATGATAGCAGTAGAAAACTAATACAAAAACTAATACAAAAAACTAATACTAAAACTCACAGAAGTTTACAATGAAAGAAATTTCTAAATTTGAAGTTATGTGAGGGCTGCAGCTTCTGATAAGTTCTCAGTCAATGAACAAAGAAAATAGACTCGATATTAATGAGTGCTCATAGGCATTATGTTTGCAATTTTCTCGTGACTTTAATTCTTACAAACTGCAAGGTGTTTTTTTTTTTTTTTGCCAAGAAGACACTGAAATTCAAAGACTTTAATTAATAAGCCTCTAAATCAACAGTGGTAGAACCTAGGGAATATGAGATTATAATCTTATTATGTATAATTTCAAATCTGAATCTGTAGTTCATTATTCTCTATTACCTCCTTCTAGCCTCTGTTCATTGGGACTCTGTGAACTGAAGTTTTAACAAGTACCAAATACATAGTTTGATTTAAAGAAGGAAATCCTTTCCTTTAGCTGGCCAAAAGTTTTAGAAAACACAAGTACGTCAAAGAGAAGATATTAAAATCGACTAATGTTTCAGATGTATGGCATTATTGCTGATGCATATGTCCAATACTGGCAAACACAGCTGCATGCGCGCACACACACATACACACGAGAGAGAGAGAGAGAGAGAGAGAGAGAGAGAGAAAAAGAGAGACAGACAGACAGACACAGGGAGAGAGACAGAGAGAGAGAGACCTCAAAGCCCCAAAGACCCAGATTATATCTTTTCTTCAGCACTTACTGAATGTATGACATATTGAAGGCCTGCAACAAATGTTGCTTTATCTCAACCTGCAATTTGATTTGGAAGCAGAGAACTGAGATAATTTAAAGTTCTTTTCTAATTGCAACTGTCTTAAATGTATATTCAATAAGTATTAGTAAACATATAGAGCTATGCAACTATCACCACAATCCACATTTAGAACATTTTCATTATTCCAAAGAGATTGCTTGTGTCTATTTGCAGTCGTGAAAGGAAAGTAAATCTTGGGGCCCCGAAATCACTAAGTTAAAGGGAAAAGTCAAGCTGGAAACTGCTTAGGGCAATCCTGCCTCCCATTCTATTCAAAGTCACCCCTCTGCTCACTAAGATAAATGCATATTTGATTGCCTCCTTTGGAGAGGCTACTCAGAAACTCAAAACAGTGCAACAATTTGTCTCTGACGTACCTATGATCTGGAAGACCCCTCCCCACTCCAAGTTGTCCCACCTCTCTGGACCGAACTAATGTTCATCTTACATATGTTGATTGATGTCTTGTGTCTCCCTAAAATGTATAAAACCAAACTGTGCTCCGACCACCTTGGACACATGTCGTCAGGACCTCCTGAGGCTGTGTCATGGGCGCACGTCCTCAACCTTAGCAAAATAAACTTTCTAAATTAACTGAGACCTATCTCAGATATTCGGGGTTCATAGAGTAAATCTCTACTGTCATACTCAGCCCCAGTCAACCATTTATCTACTTTGTCTTTACAGATTTTTCTTTCTTGAGCATTTCACATAAACGGGATTATAGAATATGTAGTCTTTTGTGTCCGACTTCTTTAATTTAGCATGTTTTGGGGATTCATTGATTTAGAGCATATACTTTTTATGACTAAATAGTATTCCATTGCACAGATAAAACACGTTTTGTTTATCCATACACCAGTTGATGAACATTAGGACTATTTTCAGTTTGGGGCTAACATTGCTATGAGCAGTCAAATACAAAAATTTTTGTGGTCTAATTTACCTTGGATAGATTCCTAGGAATAGAATCATGAGGCCATATAGTACATTTATTTTTAACTTTCAAAAAAATTGCAAACTATTTTCCAAAGCAACTACATTACATTGCATTCCAATCTGCACTTATGGAGGGTTCCAGTTTGTCCACATTCTTATTAACATTTGTTACTCTCTTTTTATTATAACCATTCTAGTGAGCATGAAGCATTATTTCATTGATATTAATTTACGTTCCCTAATGATTAAGAATGTTGAACATTCCTTGGTGTATTTATTGACCTTCTATATTTTCTTTGGTAAAATGTCTATTCAAATCTCTTACAGACTGAATGTTAATACCTTCCAAAATTCATAGGTTGAAAACATGACCCCTATGTGATAGTATTGGTAAGTGAGATCTTCAGGAGATAATTAGATCATGAGGGTGAAGCCCTCATGGATGGAATTAGTGCCATTATATAAAAGATCCCAGGGAACTCTCACATTCCCTTTCTGCCAAATAATACAATGACAAGTTGGCAGTCTGCGACCCAGAGAAGGAACCTCACAAGAACTCAACCATGCTGGCACCCTAATCTCAGACTTCTAACCTTCGGTATTCCAAGAAATACATTTCTGTTGTGTATAAACACCCTAGCCTATGGTACTTTGTTATAGCTTCCTAAATTAAGACAAAAATCTCTATTTTTAACTGGATTGTTTTCTCATTATTGGGTTGTAAGAGGTATTTATATGTTCAGGATACAAGTCATTTATCAGAGATATAACACATAAACATTTTCTGCCAGCCTGTGGCTTGTCTTTTTGTTTTCTTAATATTTATTTTTCAAGTGCCAAAGGTTTTTGAAGTTGATGGAAGTCCAAATATTTACTGTATACATTTTATGGGTCATGCTTTTGATGTCATATGTGCAAACTTTTTTCTTAACACAAGGTCATGTAGATTTCCTCTCATGTTTTATTCTACAAGACTTACAGTTTTAACACTTAGATTTACATATGTACTTCATTTTAATTAATATTTATGAATAGTGTGTGGTAGCTCTAAATTTATCTTTTTTATATCCAATTTCCTCTGCACAATTTGTTAAAAAGTATGTACTTTTTCCATTAAGTCGATTTGTCACCATCATCAAAAATCAATTGACCTTAAGCATGAGGCTTCATTATTTACTTATTTAATTTTTTTTTTTTGAGACGGAGTCTTGCTGTGTCGTCCAGGCTGGAGTGCAGTAACGAGATCTCAGCCACTGCAACCTCCGCCTCCTGGGTTTCAGCAATTCTCCTGTCTCAGCCTCCCAAGTAGCTGGGATTACAGGCGCACACCACCATGCCCAGCCAATTTTTCGTATTTTTTTAGTAGATAGGGGGTTTCACCATTCTGGACAGGCTGGTCTTGAACTCCCGACCTCATGATCTGCCCACCTCAGCCTCCCAAAGTGCTGGGATTACAGGTGTAAGCCACTGCGCCTGGCCCATTTTTTATTTTTAATTCTGTTCTATTTCTATGTGTGACTATTCTCAGGCAAGCACGATGTTGTTTTGTTAACTAAGACAACACTGTACTTTATACTAAGCTCTGACTTTAGGAAGTATAGGTCATCCACCTTTATTTTTTCCTCAAAATGATTTTGACTACTCTCAATCCTTTATATGTAAATTTTTAGATCTGCTTGTTGATTTCTGCAGATAAAAAATCTGCTGAATTTTTATAGGAATTACATTGAATCTGTGTATCAATTTGGAGAGAATTGCCAATTTAATAATATTGAGTATTCAACTCCATGAAGAAAGAATGCCTCTCTACTAATTTATATATCAGCAATGTTGTGTAGGTTTCAGTGCAGCTCTTGGAATTTTGTTAAAATTATTGTAAAGCATCTATTTTTTACTATTATGATTGGAATAATTTTCATAATTTCACATTTGGTGTGTGTGTTGTTAATATATAGAAACATTGGATTTTTATCCTGTGACCTTGCTGAACTTCTCTATTACATTTGAGGTAGGGGTGTGTGTGTGTGTTTTCTATGGTATTTCTTAAGATTTTATACATAGAGCATTATACTGTTAGAGATTACAGACAGTGTTGCTTCTTTTTGTCAATCCGATGACTTTTTTTCCTCTTTCCCTTACTTCACTAGCAGCACAATAGTAAATAGTAATGACACAAACAGATCCCTTTGATTTGTCCTGATTTTAGAGGAGATTCATTCAGTCATTCACCATATGTTTAGCATTTTTCTATTTGTTTTCTACATATCTGATGCTTTTTTTCCTTTTCCTCTTTTACTTTTTGTGTATGCTTGTTAAATAGATAGTATACTGTATGCCTTTCAAATATATTTACTTTTTGGCATGGTTGTTCTAAGGATTGAAGTGTGCCTCTTAATATGCCACAAGCTATCAGGAAATGTGGGTGTTTGTGGGGAGAAATAGTGAATTTTAACTATGTTAATGTCACAAAAATATGTTTTCATTCATCAGGCTGCTGTTACATCTCACCCATTCATCTCATTTTGGTAAGTAGAATAAGCCAGTTTTCCTAAGAGTGTACCTCTGTGACGGCATAAATTAAAATTAAAGGATGAGCAATTTCATGGAAACTTGGTATTTGATATAAATACAGTGATGTTTTCCTCCTTGTTCTCAGGGCAAAGCTCTCTGTCCCCATCCCCAAAATGTATTGCAAAAATGAAAAACTGCCTTCAAATGTCTGCAGAGCTTGGCATGGTCCCAGAGCTGAATATATCCTTGAGGCTGTTAAGTCCACTGGTTCTTCTGGCATTGGCATCAACTGTGAACCAAAACATTTTTTAAAACATTTCTAAACCTCAGCTGGGCATGGTGGCTTACCCCTGTAATCCCAGCACTTTGGGAGGCCGAGGTGGGCAAATCACCTGAGGTTGGGAGTTCAAGACCAGCCTGAACAACACGGAAACACTCTGCTTCTTCTAAAAATTCAAAATTAGCCGGGTGTGGTGGCGCATACCTGTATCCCAGCTACTTGGGAGGCTGAGGCAGGAGAATCACTTGAACCCAGGAGGCAGAGGTTGCGGTGAGCCAACATCGCGCCATTGCACTCCAGCCTGGGTAACGAGAGCAAAACTCCGTCTCAAAAAAAAAAAAAAAAAAAAAATTCTAAATCTCAGGCACCAAGATAGCAGTTATAAATACGTTATTACACTTTTGGAGTAGACAAAATTGTTATTATTCTATGACTGATATTTAATGAGTCCCCACTCATATAGTTATTTACTATGATTCCAGCACAGAACTAAGACTTTTTATTACCCACTTTCAGAGCATGCAAGTGCATATTCTTGAGGTTCATCCCCCAGGGGTAGATTATATCCTTGCTGGATGAACCCTTTGGCCAGGAAGAAGTCAGGGAACAGTTGTTTTGGGGTTATAGATGGAGCATGCATGGGCTCTGATTTTCACCTGTGTATATCTGAGGTCTCGTGCTAACCAAATGAGCTGGCAGTGGAAAGAGATGCCTATGGGCCAAAGACAGCAGACTAGGAATGAGCTACCTCTGCTTGTTCAGAACTTTAAGGAGTTCAAGAATTTTAAATCTTAAATTGAACTTTCAGGTAATTATGAAGATATTAAGGTAAGAATAAAAAACACATTTTATTGAACAGTATGTTAGCTTGCCTTATACCTTTTACATACTGAGACATGTGTACGATCTACTTCATATATATTCCTGATTTTGGCCAGCAATTGTCTGGAATGGGATGAGATATTAATGTCACCTCTATACAAGTGAGAAAACCTGAGACTAAGAGAAGTTAACCAATTTGGCTAAGGTCACAAAGCCATAAATAAAAGCTGATCTGATTCCAAAAGACATAAAAACTACTATGTTATTATTTTTCCAACAATGTTGTAAGATCATGCTGCTAATATCTGGTGAAACTTAAGTTCAGTTTCATTGATTTCAAAGTCTGCAAACTTTCAGTGAATCTACCTTACCATAATGGAGTCCAAGGAATATAAAAAGCAAGCTTAAGATGAGAAGAGATAGTCTTTCTTTTTTACTCTGTATTCTCACATCTCCAACTAGGTGTCTACAAGGACATAGTAGGCACTCAATAAATATTTATTGAAGGAATGATGGAATTTAATAAATCTAAGCTGGCATTTACAGCTGCATTGGCATGGACTCATATAGGATATATGACTGTAATCTACCACTGATCTCGTACCTCAAGAATAGAGAAATATAACAGTGGGAAAAAAACTCTGATTAACCATTCATTCTGGATGTGAGGGAAGAACTTGCTTCTCTGAAGTCATGATTCCACTGCTTTCTACAAGCTGATTTATTTTTAAAAAAGAAAAAAAATGGGGAGGATAGGAGAGAAAGAAAAAGAAGGAAAAAAGAAAGAAAAATAATGTTGCCCATTTCAATGTAGGCTTTTATCTTGAAAAGGAAAAGAGTGGTGTTGTGTCTTCAAATCTGTAAAAGCAACCTATAAAAACAGAACAAAACAAAAACCCACAACAAAATGAATCAATCAATGGCTCATTCGGCAATGCAATACCATCTGCTCATGACATACATCCCTGGGTGAGTCAGCAAAAGGCAAAATTAGCAATTCAACTAATTATGAATTTTTCAGGTAAATGGGTCATAAACTGAGATTTAAGAGTTGTAAAGGAGCCGGTGCTACAAACTGCCAAAAGGATATGATCTGCTACGGGAGGTGCATTGCAGAGGCAGGCTCTCACTTCAGAGAACAAGCACCTAGAGACAGGAGCCACAAACCATGTCACGAAAATAAATTTAAATCCTGAAAAAGATCAGCATGTCTACAGATAAAAACCTCCACTCACACAGGGGGCAAACCTTTGAAAGGGTCAAATTGAGGGCTGGCTCTATGGTTGGTGCACCCACAATGGTTAGTGATAAATGATGCCCGAGCTTGGCTCATTCCAGTGCTGGTGGGGCTGGTTTAATACAGAAAGTTACATCAGTTGTAAAATGAGACTTTACCAACAGCATAGCATTAATAATCCTTTGTTTTTATGCAGGAGAATTGTATTATATTTACTATGGGCTTAAAAATCTCCTCTAGGATTTCTGTTGCTTAAGTGTCTCTTGCTAACAGGAGCTTGGTTAAATTGCTGTTAAGAACAGAGAAGAGAGGTTGTAAATTGGAGACTTCCCAATTCCCAGAGCTACTCAAGAATCCTGTACAGTTGAGGGACATTAATATCTCATACAATCCTACTGCAGTCTTGAAAAATAATAATATTAAAAAAAACCTTCGTTCCTCTCCACCACATTTCCAACTCTATTTTATCTCAAATAAAAATATTTTCACCTCTCGTTTTCTTTATGACCTTGGTGCCTTTACCTCTCCAGGCGGGATAGTCTTTTATCACTATCAGCTTTGGTTCTAACCTTTGATGATGCTTTCTGGGCTTTTCTGGGACAGTAAATACTCCTGAATGACACTGGATTCTTCATATTCTTGCTCCTGTTTCAAGAAGTAGTCTCAGCCCTCTGCAGGCACCAAGTATTCTAATGGGACAACCAAGAAAACAGGTAACAACAAGGACATACAGTCCAGGACTGTTCAGCTGGATTTGAGGAGTGTTCTTTAAAGTCTAATGAAAGGCTACTTTCTGGGCGGGCATGCAAAGGCAAAGCAACAGGAGGCATTCTTGAGACCAAATCACCCTTTACATTGTCTGTGTCTAGACTGAACAACCACACAGGAATTAAATGTGTGGCAAGAAACAAAGAACCTTGAATAACCCAGGAAAAATATATCCAAAGTTTACAAGCAATTTATTTACTCATTCCTAACATCCCCTCCAGATTCTGGGGGGTTGACATAAACTTGTATTCATTCAACATCCATTCAACAAGTAGTTACTGAATGCCAACTGCACATCAGTCAATGTGCTAGGCACTTGGGAATGAGAGAAGACACAATCTAGTCCCTGACCTCAGCCAAGGCATAGTCTAAAGGGAAAAACATATCTAGTACTGAAGAAAGGTAAAGACAATGTATAAGCCCCAAGAAAAAAAAGTTTATGACTCTGCCCACAATACCTAATTGCATTTGAGCTACAACTTGACTGATGAATAGGATGAAAACTCAAGATCATTTTAGGAAGTGCCTTAGAAAGAATAACTAATGCAAAGGCAAAGAGAAGTGTATTTAGAAAAGAATAATTCCAGAATTTATGGATTACAGAATTCAAGGTAGAAAACAAGAAACTAGAAAAGTAAATTGTGGCTGGATTTTTATTTTTATTTATTTATTTTTTTAGATGGAGTCTCGCTCTGTCACCCAGGCTGGAGTGCAGTGGCACATCTCGGCTCACTGTAAGCTCTGCCTCACGGGTTCACGCCATTCTCCTGCCCCAGCCTCCCGAGTAGCTGGGACTACAGGCGCCCGCCACCACACTCGGCTAATTTTTTGTATTTTTAGTAGAGACGGGCTGTCACTGTGTTAGCCAGGATGGTCTCAATCTCCTGACCTCGTGATCCACCCGCCTTGGCCTCCCAAAGTGCTGGGATTACAAGCATGAGCCACCACACCTAGCCATGGCTGGATTTGTAAAGGTACTTTATATTTTAGACTATATTTCCAAACTTCTTTTTTGCAGTTAGTTATTTTTAGGTGTATCTGGCTGTTAGGGCAGCCACAACAAAGTACCACAAACTGGGTGACTTAAATAACAGAAATATATTGACACAGTTCTAAAGGCTAGAAGTTCAAAATCAAGGTGCTGGCAGAGTTGGTTCCTCCCAAGGGCTTGTAGGGTAGGATCTATTCCAAGCTTCTCTTACTTGGCTTGTAAAAGGCCATCTTCTCTCTGTCTCTTCATATTGTCTTCCTTCTATGTGTGTCTCTGTGTTCACATTGCCTTTTTTTTTTAAATAAGAACACCAGTTATATTGGGTTAGAGCCCCCCGCAGTGACCTCACTTTGATTACCTGCATGAAAGTCACATTCTGAGATACTACGAGTTCAGATTTCAACATATAAATTGGTGGGGTTCCGGGGTAGGCAGTGGCAGAGAATTCAACTTATGATATCAAGTGACTGAATTCTGAATATTGAATTATAGGGAGAGAGAAGTCATATAAACGATCTTTATGTCTGGCCCATTAAAAACCTTCCTGATGCAGGTATAAACCTCTAGGCTCTTACCTCTTTCTGCTGTCTTGAGAAAAATAAGCACAGTAACTATGGAAGCCACCAGCTAAAGCTGCAACACTACAAGACACAAGATAACTGAGGATCTTGAATCACCCTTGAAATGAGACCACTCAGCCTGCCAGGATCATACATCTTGGATATTACACAGCAAGAAATAAATATGTACTGCATTTGAGCCATGGTACAAATTGAATTTGTTCAACAAATAGGAAACAACTTTATAAAACTAGTCAAGTGGTCTTAGGCTGACAGCATACAACACACACATGCCCACGTGCAGGCACACACACAGAAATGCTTAAAAACTGAATTATCTATCTTAAAATGAAAGTAAGAATATACACGTTCCTCTGTTAAGGAGGAAATGGGCTTATTTACCTCAACTTATAGGACATAACAGGCCTAAGACACTGAGTTAATTCCCCAATAAGGCAGCCAAGAGAGATCTCAAAATTTCTGAGGAAAGTGTCTAATAAACCTCATCTATGGGGATCCGTAGGTGATCATCCAAATTCTTCAGCTATCATGGGCCTCAAACTGTATCATCAGCTATACCTCGACTTTCAAGATACATATATAAAACTCATGTTAAGAGAAACGTAAATAAAATATTTCCAGTATTATTTTATGGAACATTGTTTAAGCCTTTACAACTACAAACAAATTCTAAATAATTTTAAAATATGCAAGATTTCAAGTTACTTTCTCACCAGTTAATGTTCAAATTACAGTTGCGATAGAAAATATATAAAGTAATATTTACATATTATATAAAGTTAACAGTTTGAATCCACCTGAAGTTAAATAAGACTAGAAAATGTAGGCTAGAGAAATATTTCACCATATTTGTTGATACTCTGAGTCATGTAAGTGTTTAAATTTGAATTATAATGCAAAAATTTGGAGATAAATTATCGTGTACGATTGATAAACCACAGAATATTAGCTCTAGGCCACTCCAGTTCCTTTCAAAGAGTTGGCTTCTAATTATCTGCTGATGTCTGTACTAAATTTAATAGCCAAGAGATTTGGATCTTACACATTTAGTGAGATACAATAGCCGTATGCACTTGTCAATGACTCATATTTATCAGTTATCACCTATATTAACGGAGATAAGGAACAGATCTTAAAAGTTAAGCTGTAGGATCTTGATTCCAGACATAAAATTAGAATTTGTACTTTAGTAGAAATGCACAGTAAGAGAACTGCATAATTGCTTGGAGAACTTTATTAATAACCAAATGCTCAAATGAGCAGAGCAACTTTGTTATTACAATGTACTATGCCAAAATGAGTCTGTTCATATATTTGCCAATTTCATTTTGCCCAACAGTTCACTGAGTTCAATTACTGAGTTGTTTCATTTTACTGGAATCTTTAGAACATTGCCAAAATAACAAAAATAACTAATGAATGAAGTCAAACGAAGACCATTTGGGGACAATCAGATTATTTTCCCCCTTGATTTCTTCTTACCTTCTGGAACACCTTGGTTTAATAAAATTCTGTGTGGTGTGTATTCTTCTCCCCTAGAGTTAATGTCTTTATTCATTTGATTAATAAATTCTTAGTGAGAATTTACTATGTGCTTATTCTAGTGAAACATTTAGAATATAATTGTGAGTAAACCAGGCAAAGTTCTTACCTTCATGTAGCTAATATTCTAAAGGAGACAGATAATTAAACAATAATAATAATGCGGCTTAATGTGAGTACAGTTTTAAATTCATGACTGGTTTCAAATCTTTTGAGTTGGTGATGGATTCCAGAATAAGATCTAAATTGCTTTACTTTCCTTATTAGACAATATAGCAGTAGTATAATTATATATATTGTTTGGAAATATTATAATAAATGTGTTGCTAAGTACAAGGAATTTCTATATCACTTTGTTAACCATAATTTAGAATAATAGGCATCAGGGAGCATCAGGAAAACTAAATTCAAGTGAAGGCTTTTTAAGTTGCATATCCTTGAGAAAAAACTAGATCTTATGCCTCTTATTGTATTATCTTTTAAATGAGGACTGTGCTAGCAGGCTCATAAAACCATGGCAAGAAAGTATTTTTTATGTTAATTAAAGAAAATGTTCCTCATCAAATAAGGCATTAGAAAAACAGATATTTTGGCACATGTCATAAACATGTTAACTACTGCTTATACAAAATTATCCTATTGTCCTAGAATAATTACAGTATTTACATAGTTCTAACAACTCATTCACCTATAAAGGCTTCTTTTATTGTCTAGCTATATAGGACAGGGAAAATAAAGAGATGAACAAATCAAGGACAAAGGGATAGCTATATGATTCAACTATTCAATAATAGTATCTGATTTTCCATTCCCAGTCACCTTGGTGGTAAGTAGAGTTGCTTAAGTTTATTTAGTGTTCAATAATATAGTCACAAAGTATACTAGAAATTTCACATAGCACAACTTCCTTTGCATCGTTTTTTGGCTTTGACATCAGACATAAGAGCGTAAGAAAGAAAATAGGGTTTAAGTTCATTTCTCTTCATGTAGCTGTTTTAAACAAAAGTGAAGGATTTTTTCCAAGACAGTATTAGAGAAATTTTATCACTACTGAAAAAAATCTCAAATTATGCAATGTAAAACATAGTCTCTATCTGCTGTTGTGTATATTTTTAAATGGTGTTAAAAGGAAATACGGAAGAAATAAAACTGATAACCCAGTTGTTTGGTGACATATGCAAAAATAACATATGCCAGGGCTCCCTACAAGGCACTATAAAAAGAAAAGCATTTCATGAAACTAAATGTTTCTAAAACTTAGATCAGCTGAGAAATTAAATGGAATCAGTTAAGTTGAATTTAAGTAGTCATGACCCCTAAGGATTATAATGGCTGCATTTTAATTATATTTTTTAAAAAACTAAACTAGTCAGTCATCTGGGAGAACAATGATGTTTCCTTGTTTCTCAGGGCTTAACAATTTGTGAATATAGTTATCATCAATGACAGTCATTTAAAAATATATGTTTCTTAATAAAAGTTGGTAATATTATCTTAAAACTCATTTTTATTTCAAGATGAAGTAGATTTGGCTACAAATGTTATCTGACAATTGTTTTACTACCAAATAAAAATAGCTTGAAAATATATTACAGACATTTCAGCATTGCCATAGAAGTATGTGCTGAGATATTAATGACTCTTCATAAATATATTTGTCTTAAAATATTATAAAGGTTGTGGTTAAGCTACTATAGACATAAAACAAATCATTGACCATTTATTTATCCACTCAGTCTTCTTTTCTCAAATGAATGATGGCCTTACATTTGGGCATCTTTTACAACTCTTACATTAAGCTCTTCCATGAAGAGAATGTGATAAATTTGTACAAAACCCATTCAAGGTATTATTGTCTTCATAAAAACATTATTTTATGAGTCCCAAATTATAAGTGCCCTTTTCTGCCCCCACTCTGAAGTTCTCTCATGTCTTAATTCATAAATATGTACAGAAACTTAGTGCCAAATTTAGTTTATAGTCAAATAACTACAAGTGTGCAGTATAGCAAAAGTAGACAAGAGTTTCTTTGTAGTAGACACAGTTACTCCCTTATAACCTTACATATATTATAATACAAAAATTGAAAGTAGTGTAAATTAGTTTATTCATTTAACATATAAACATTGAGAACTTACTACATTCACCCCAAGTGCAGAGACCACCGTGGTAAGAAAGATAACTTTGCCCTCATGTAGTATATGTATGCATGTATATGTGTAGATGTGTAAACAGAAGGCATTAAATATCATACACATACACGCATACACTACACATAAATACAAAGCAATTTCTTTTTTTTTTTAATTTTTTTTTTGTTTTTGAAACAGAGTCTTGCTCTGTCGCCCAGGCTGGAGTGCAGTGGCGCAATCTCGGCTCACTGCAAGCTCCGCCTCCCAGGTTCACGCCATTCTCCTGCCTCAGCCTCCTGAGTAGCTGGGACTACAGGTGCCTGCCACCACGCCCGGCTAATTTTTTGTATTTTTAGTAGAGACGGGTTTCACCGTGTTAGCACAAATGGTCTGGATCTCCTGACCTCGTGATCCCGCCTGCCTCGGCCTCCCTAAGTGATGGGATTACAGGCGTGAGCCACGGAGCCCAGCCAATACAATTTCCATTATATTACTTGTAATCACAAATAAATCCAAATAAATCCAATAGTGTTTGATCCTTCTATTATACCCTTATTTCTGCATTCTCTCCTCTAAATATTTTATGAATGTCTTAATTTTGAAAGTCTTAGATAACGGGGAGAAGAGAAGGCAATGCAAAAATGAAGCAGACAAGGTCCTTGACTTCAGGACACTTGTAAGTGTCTCAGAATGTTGGCTTATTTACAGTAGAAACTTTGAAGGAGTTTGTATCTAAAAGCATTAATGGCAATAAACCACTAAATGACAGGGAGTGAATCATATATTACACTAAGGTAGCAGCACCAGCCCAGCAAAGTGACAGTAACAGTTCCATTCCTCACACGCTGTCCCTAAATCCCATTCTCCATCAAAAAAATAATAGGTTTCTTTTGAGCGGGATGGACCTGTAATCTCAGAGAAACATAGTTTGTCTTCTCCTACATGTTCCTATTCTAAAACATAAAAGAAATTTTTGTATTAAATAGATGAGAAGAATTTAAAAACTTCAGAATCAAGCTATTAAAATGGCAATCACAGAAATAATGACCTGGAATAATGTGCCCAAAGTGAACCTGGTGGAAGGCCTTTGATCACAATCTAGCCTGAAGCTAAGAGGAGTCAGGAGGTGAGGGAAAGTTTTTTATAGCAAGGTAATTTTGAGATTACTTTTTAAAGTAGCATTTAATCTGTTAAAGACAAAACAATGTGAGTATATTAAAGAAATAATGAGAGAATAATGATACCCATTTTTATCCCAAAACATGTTTGCTTCTCACGCCTATAATCCCAGCACTTTGGGAGGCTGAGGTGGGCAGATCATGAGGTCAGGAGTTCGAGACCAGCCTGACCAATATGATGAAACCCTGTCTCTACTAAAAATACAAAAATGAGCCAGGAGTGGTGGTGCACACCTGCAGTCCCAGCTACTCGGGAGGCTGAGGCACAGAATTGCTTGAACCCGGGAGGCGGAAGTTACAGTGAGCTAAGATCACACCACTGCACTCCAGCCTGGGTGCCAAAGTGAGACTCCATCTTAAAAAAAAAAAAAAAAAGAGTGGTTTTAAAAATATTTTAGCAACTAAATCCTTATTCAGAAAATATACAAATCCAGTATATAAGCCAATAATAAATTAGTTGCTCTGGTAGAAGTTAAGATCGGAGGCCCAGCTGTTGGCACCCCTTTTTCTGTACCTATCCCCATTTCAGGGGATGCTGAGTCACCTCTACATAGTCCCTGTGTCTCCAGGAAATACAGGTTTTGGAGTCAGTCATACCTGTATTTAATATTGGTTCTTCTTTATTTCCTTTGGTACCTGAATCAAAAGTTTCTAGTATTTCAGTCTCAGTTTTGTCATCTGTAAAATAGAATTTATGTCACAAACTTGGTGGAAGAATAAAATAAAATATGTAAAAATATTAGGCATATAGTAAATGCTCAATAAATCATAATTACTATTATTATCATTTTTACTAATAGAGTATGCCCTGAAGTTCAGACTTTGATGTACTATGAGAATTTATGGCAAGATATCAAATTACAGGTTTTTGGGGGGAAATAAGTAAATAAATTTATTTGCATATAAAACTAGAAGCTTAAATCCAAAATTAATGGACAGTTCAAAATATATAGGCAGGTAGTTAATAGTTTTGGTTAGGTTACTGGTCTTTGCAAAATGATTAGGAGAATTTAAAAAGCAAATCGGTTAGAATGAAGTGTATTCGCCATTCAGGACATAGGCATGGGCAAGGACTTCATGTCTAAAACACCAAAAGCAATGGCAACAAAAGCCAAAATTGACAAATGGGATCTAATTAAACTAAAGAGCTTCTGCACAGCAAAAGAAACTACCATCAGGGTGAACAGGCAACCTACAGAATGGGAGAAAATTTTTGCAATCTACTCATCTGATGAAGGGCTAATAGCCAGAATCTACAAGGAACTCCCACAAATTTATAAGAGAAAAACAAACAACCCCATCAAAAAGTGGGCAAAAGATATGAACAGACACTTCTCAAAAGAAGACATTTATGCAGCCAAAAGACACATGAAAAAATGCTTGTCATCACTGGCCATCAGAGAAATGCAAATCAAAACAATGAGATACCATCTCACACCAGCTAGAATGGCAATCATTAAAAAGTCAGGAAACAACAGGTGCTGGAGAGGATGTGGAGAAATAGGAACACTTTTACACTGTTGATGGGACTGTAAACTAGTTCAACCATTGTGGAAGTCAGTGTGGTGATTCCTCAGGGATCTAGAACTAGAAATACCATTTGACCCAGCCATCCCATCACTGGGTATATACCCAAAGGATTATAAATCATGCTGCTATAAAGACACATGCACACGTATGTTTATTGCGGCAATATTCACAATAGCAAAGACTTGGAACCAACCCAAATGTCCAACAATAATAGACTGGTTTAAGAAAATGTGGCACATATACACCATGGAATACTATGCAGCCATAAAAAATGATGAGTTCACGTCCTTTGTAGGGACATGGATGAAGCTGAAAACCATCATTCTCAGCAAACTATCACAAGGACAAGAAACCAAACACCGCATGTTCTCACTCATAGGTGGGAACTGAACAATGAGAACACATGGACACAGGAAGGGGAACATCACACACCAGGGTCTGTTGTTGGGTGGGGAGATGGGGGAGGGATAGCATTAGGAGATATACCGAATGTTAAATGATGAGTTAATGGGTGCAGCACACCAACATGGCACATGTATACATATGTAACTAACCTGCACGTTATGTACATGTATCCTAAAACTTAAAGTATAATAAAAAAAGGAAAAAGGAACACGCACAAAAAAAACAAAATGTGAAAGAAAAAAGTAATAAAATTAAAAAAGAAAAGAATGAAGTGTATTCGCTAGAAAGATTTCTGTAAGTGTATTCTTTTTGTTTTGTTTTGAGATGGAGTTTTGCTCTTGTCACCCAGGCTGGAGTGCAATGATGCCAGCTCAGTTCAGTGCAACCTCCACCTCCAGGGTTCAAGTGACTCTCCTGTTTCAGCCTCCCAAGTAGCTAGGATTAGAGGCACCTGCCACCACAACCAGCAAAGTTTTGTATTTTTAGTAGAGACAGGGTTTCACCATGTTGGCCAGGCTGGTCTTGAACTCCTGACCTCAGGTGATCCCCCTGCCTCAGCCTCCCAAGTGCTGGGATTACAGGCGTGAGCCACTGCACCCGGCCGTAAGTGTATTATTTTCTCCTTTGTTCTTTTCATTTATGTATTTAATGATAGCAAAGATTTTATACATATTCAGCATTTATCTACTTCTTGAGAAAGTGATCCCTTAGCAGCTTGTGGCTAGTTTCAACCCCTTTGTAATTAGCTATAGAATAGAAAAAGTGAAATTGCACATTTTCCCTCTTTAGTATATGAAATCTACATGATTTAGTTTTTGTAAGCCATCAATAGTGAGAACAGACAAGAAATTCATTAGGATCTTGTGTGACCTGTGGGTCTAAATTTGTATGTTCTTCCCTTCTCTAGGAATATGTCTGGGATTTTAATCTTTGTGCCTATAATCTTTTTAGCTCAGGGATCTAATCTAGCTATTGAAAACATGTAGTTTGGCCCCACATGGTACTGAAGGATTTTAAATGTGAATACTTAGAGGAAATTAATCTCTTTCTCAATTCTAATCTCATATACATTTTACAGTTTTTCTTGAATTCCACAACAGTGACTAATGAAAGCAGTTGAATGAGACCCCTGTTAGAAAATCAACTTTGGTTACTAAAATCAGCATCTCATGTCCCTGAGTGATATTGCAGACCCATTGGCACATTCTTACTACGATTTCTTTCTTTCCAATACCTCTTGTCAATTATTAACAGTGCTTGCCATCAAAATACCTTATGGCGTACATGTTCAAAGCCGCCAGTCTGTTATTTAAAGGTGATGCTCAACTTTGGCTAAGCTTGAAGTCGTACCCAAATATTATGTCACAAAATTAAAGATCTTTTTCTGAGTGGGTTGTGTTTTGAGATAATTTCTGCACATGTTCAATCCTATTGAGTCTTTCGTTCTGTTCTTTAAATAGTGCGATTATGTATATTAGTACCCTTATTTAGTCACTGGAAATCTGATCTTGAATGAATAGGGCAATAACCTTATATTATTGTCCACAATATGACTATAAGTATAGATAAAGCAAGTTTTATGATTACCACTGTATGGATGAGAATATTTCTTTAAACCTAAATACATTTAATGATTTTGACATCATGGTCTCAGCTTTCTTTTCTTTTTCTTCTAACCCTTATCACTTGTGGTAGGTAAATAACATACATTAAGAAAGGATGTGTTGAAATCAATTTAATCAAAGTAAAGAAAAATCTTTCTGGAAGGGTGATAAACTTTTTAATCCAAATTAATTTATTTTTACCCTTAATGTTTTATGAATTCTGTACAAAGAGGACACAGGATAAGACAAATTTGACAAAAACTGATGTTTCAGCAATAGTAACGTATATTTATTGAGAATATATTATGTGTTGTACAAGTTACTCTAAAGTTTCCTCAGATATAACACAATTGCTATAATATAGGTGCTACTCTTACCCACATTTTGCAGATGAGAAAATTAAAAGACTAAGAAGTCAAATAACATTTAATAGTTATGCAACTTGTGGGTGGCAAAGCCAGGGCTCTAATCTAGGGTCATTCTTGTTATTAGTACTACATTTCCACTCTTCTCTAATGTTATTATATTGTTTTTATTTCAGCGCTAATATGAACAACTTTTTCTGGAAAACAGTTTCAGTGAGTATAGAAATCACAATGGAGAATTTGTCATAATTTTCTATTTTCTCACTTGTACAATCTGCCATTTCCTTGGTAATGTTTTTTCTGAAATTGAGATGTGTTGCGGCTAACAGTAGCAGTCTCTGCATTAAAGAGATTCCAGATGATTTAGACAAGTTGCTTACAATTTGCATTTATGTTTGGGAAAATTATAGCAATGGTCTCCATGTGGTTTCTATCACTTTATTGCTCAGAGACCCCTTGTTCAGACACAGACACAGACACAGTCTTTGCTGATCAAAAAGTACACAAACTGTGAGTCACAGAAAAAGCAAACACAAAACCATTAATATCTCTTCCTTTTGTTGCCATTGTATAATTCTGTATCTAAATGATTTGATCTCTTCTTGCTACAGATAAGTGACTCACAAAAGCTGATGGGAATTTACATGACCAATAACATTAGAAACAATTTATTTACAGGTGACAGAAATGTTCTCCAGCTGATCAGAGAGGGAATAACGTTTTTATGTTGCCAAAGGATGAAGCTATTTTCTTCAGCCAGACTGCACATTTATATCAACTGAGGAAAGAAAGAAAAATCTCCTGACCTTTATCAAATTACTACATAATTAAAATTTAGATTTTTTGATTGACACATTAATATGAAAAGCAGTGTAAGTTCTGAAATATAGTATTAAGAACTTGAAAACAGGATTTGAAGACATTTGCTACTAAAGAAGAGGGTAGTGGGGATATAACAATAACACAGTTTATTCTCAAAGTAATGAGCAATAAAATTCCTCAGCTGGATAGTGAGGAAAAACAAGAGCTTGAGATCCTATTGGCAGCACCCGAAGTTTACTGATGACAGTATATTGTATAAATGCATGGCTACCCAGGTATCACTGAAGAGAATTATAAGAAATGTCATTGACTTTTTCATTTTAATTTAAATGCATTAATAATGGTACACCGATAATGGAATATAGACTGCTGGAGCGGATCATCTATTTTTAAGAACCCTTATGTTATAGATAAGGTAGTTAAAAATGCAATAGGGGAGCTGAAATCTTCCCGAAGTTATACCATGAATGAGCTTCAGAACCAGTAGTGATCTGATATGGTTTGACTATGTCCCCACCCAAATTTCATCTTGAATTCCCACATGTTGTGGGAGGGACCTGGTGGGAGGTGATTGAATCATGGGGGCAGGTCTTTCCTGTCCTGTTCTTGTGATAGGGAATGAGTCTCAAGAGATCTGATGGTTTTAAGGAGGGGAGTTTCTGCTGCCATCTGAGATGTGCCTTTCACCTTTCACCATGATTGGGAGGTCTCCTCAGTCACGTCAAACTATAAGTCCAATAAACCTCTTTCTTTTGTAAATTGCCCAGTCTGGGGTATGTCTTTATGAGGAGCATGAAAATGAAGTAATACGTGATCTGATTCAACTTTTTTTACTTTCGTAAAAATATATCTCAAGGAAGGCATTCTAATGGAGCATGAACAATAAGTAATACCTTACAGAGTCAGTCTCACCACCTATTGTCACAAATTCATTGTTTATTGTCACAATCCTCAACCCTTAGAGGAACTACAATTACACAAATTATTCATGACCGGGGAAAGGTTGTGCTGTTTTGAAGTCCTTGGACACACTGCAAAATGTGGAGCAAGCTACATTTCAATAGAGTCTAGGCCCATAAGTCTCAACGTGTTTTCCTTGGAACAGCAGCATCGGCATACTTTGGGAGCTTGTTAAAAATGCAGATTGTTGGCCGGCGCAGTTGCTCATGCCTGTACTCCTAGCACTTTGGGAGGCCGAGGCGGGCGGATCACGACGTCAGGAGATGGAGACCATCCTGGCTAACACGGTGAAACCCCGTCTCTACTAAAAATACAAAATAATTTAGCCGGGCATGGTCGGGGGCGCCTATAGTCCCAGCTACTCGGGAAGCTGAGGCAGGAGAATGGCGTGAACCCGGGAGGCGGAGCTTGCAGTGAGCCAAGATCACGCCACTGCACTCCAGCCTGGGTGACAGAGTGAGACTCTGTCTCAAAAAAAAAAAAAAAAAAAAAATGTAGATTGTTGGGTTCTAATCTAGATACTCTGGGGATGGGTCCTAACAATTTGTGTTGGATCTAGTTCACACCAAAGTTTGAAAACCACTGGTCAAAAAGAAAAGCCCTAGTCAAAAGCACTATTTTGAAGATAAAATATAAAATTGCAATCTTCGTTGTGCCACTAGACAGCTGTGTTACTTTGAGAAATTTACTTAACTTCCCTAAGATTCATTTTCCTCATTTGCAAAATACATTACCTATTTTATATGGTCCATGTGACATTAGAATGAAATAAAGCATAGAGAAATACTAAATGTTCTTTGGAGAGTAAAATCCCCACAGCTGAGAATCACTTGTTTAGAGCCTGACAGTTTTTATTTTTGATAGTCACAACTAGTGGAAGAGGTTTCTACTGACATCTGGTGAGTAGACAAGGATGTTAATAAAATCCTATAATGAACAGCATAGCTCCCCACAACAAAGAATTAATCTTTGAATATCAATAGTGCTAAGTTTCAGAAATTCTGCCCTAACTTATAACATTTATTTTTATTATCCAATTTACCATCACTTCTACTACTTCCATTTTTCTCTAATTTATAAATAATAGCATGGATACTAACAATGCTAATGTATATTTTTGAAAATACATAATGCATGTCAAAGATGCAGGTGAGATGCAAATAAAAGGATTTATTTTTTATTATTTCTAATCTTTGGGGATTATTGATAGAAGATAATAAAAAACTTTCTTTCATCACATGTTTAAAATGTACATATTCCTCATGGGGAAAAGAGATTAAAGTAATTTGAAGAGCTTGCTTCAGTTCAGCTCACCGAACAATTTTATCCCTCCACCTTGCTTATAATAAATCTCTGGCCCTAGCAAACACAGTGATAACTGAAATAGAAGGCAATCTCACTGCCACTTTTTCTATATCTTCACATCATTAGCTATCCTGCTGCAACTTTAAGTTATTATTCAAGATCACCATGTATTAGAGACATCCAAGGCAGACTAACACAGTAAAGGAGAGAACTATTTTATCAGCTTCTTTGTAGGTTAGATGAAAAGAGTAATATTTTTTCCTCCCCATTCTTTACAACCTACACTTGGATGACAAATGCCATACAGTTACTACAGGGGAAATGGATCATCTGATGGTATCTCACCATCATACTGCTTACATAATAAAAGAGTGTAGGTGATTAATGATGTTCAGAAGATAAATTATATGATTAAATTTTACCCACGTTTGTTATAGAATCATGTACAGAATCAAAAAACAAAAACAAAAAACAACCATGAAGCACCATCTTCTAACAGCAGGGAATAGAGCTTTACTTATGTAGGAGAGGGGTACAGTTTGGTCCTAAGTTTGCCTGAAATTCAGATTGTTTGATCATTTCTGACAAGCTGACATGGAAGGCCTGCTTTATCCAGTTCAGCCAAGGAAGTGAGGAACCTCCAACTTTTATAAAAAGTCCATCATAAAGGAAAAAAGGCATATGATTCTGAGCACAGTAAGGTGTCACCCAGAAGTGTCACTGGTCTACCTCCCAGGAACTCATGAACTGGAATAAAAACCTCTGGATTTGAATATTAGTTTTTAAGGCAGTTCTGCTTTTATTCCTAACAAAGTGGTCCATGAAAATATAAGGAGGCCTTCTTTCTGCAACCTCACCATAAATCATGGCTTAGCTTTGACAGTTAAAGAATTCAGGTGGGGCGTGGTGGCTCACACCTGTAATCCCAGCACTTTGTGAGGCCGAGGTGGGCTGATCACCTGAGATCGGGAGTTAGAGACCAGCCTGACCAACATGGAGAAACCCCATCTCTACTAAAAATACAAAAACTTAGCCGGGCATGGTGGCAAGTGCCTGTAATCCCAGCTACTTGGGAGGCTGAGTCAGGAGAATCACTTGAACCCGGGAGGTGGAGGTTGCAGTGAGCCAACATTGCACCATTGCACTCCAGCCTGGGCAACAAGAGCAAAACTCCATCTCAAAAAAACAACAACAAAAGAACTCAGTTAATAGTACCCATAAGAAGAAGGAGGCCAGTATAAAAATGTGGCAGGAAGGAGTGCCAATGCTCAGCAAAAATAAATTTCTGGAAAGATGCAGACGTACCCATCAGTCATGCCAGTAGCATCCATCTGAGGAACCAGGGTTTCAAACACAAATTGTCACTAGTTAGGAATGGGGGAGGCCAGCTGAAGCCTCCCGGTCTACCAGACTCAGTAGAAACTAGCCAAGGTGGCACTTAGCTAGAAAAAGGGAGCTGAGCAAGAAGAAGAAGAAAAAAAAAGGAATTGTTAGTGACCAAATATATAAAAGAGAGCTTGAATTCTATAACAGTTAAAACTGTAATAGATAATAATGCTTAGCAAGTGCTTATGTTGTTAGTATGGTACTAGAATCTAATCTTTGCAACGATTTTTAAATGTATGTTACAATAACCTCAGTTTACAGATAAGAAATTTAGGGTAAATAACTTGTTATTGACAAATTTCTCCAATTTTATGTTGATTCTCTTAAAAAAAAATTCTACCTCATTTTGCCAGCCACTTAATACCAATGCCCTGGAAATTTTTGCTCACACTTTCTAATGAAACTCTTTGGTAAAGCGTGCTGACCAATCCCTTCACTGTCCATTCAAAGCCATTTTTTTCAATTTGAATGAAAATTCGCTCTTTGAGTTTTCTCCAGCCGTGGATGGCAGTCAGGAGACCTCGCTTGTTTAAACTCTCCCTTACATTACTCTCCTTCTTTCTCAAGGTTTCCAGATGAGTGCTTCTTTGGGTTCTCCACAGCTTTCTATTCTTCCAATTGCCAATTAATTTAGGAACACCTAAGCTCAAGCATATCTTCCCGTGCTTCTCCTTGTAGGCCTCCATTAGATGGTCACTTTTGATTTCAAATAGAATTTCTACAGTAATGGCTTTCAAATCTAACTCTTCAGTCCCAGTATTTTCTTTTTGGCCCCAGATATACCTTTTCAATTTGCACCTCAATATTTTTAATTAGGTGACAAGATAATAGCTCAATGTTAACATATTATGAGTGGATGGATCACCCAAAGTCATGAGGATCACCTGAAGTTGGGAGTTCGAGACCAGCCTGACCAACATGGAGAAACCCCATCTCTACTAAAAATACAAAACTAGCTGGGCATGGTGGTACGTGCCTGTAATCCCAGCTACTCAGGAGGCTGAGGCAGGACAATCACTTGAACCCGGGAGGCAGAGGTTGCATCGAGCCGAGATCGTGCCATTGCACTCCAGCCTGGGCGACAAGAGCGAAACTCCATCTCAAAAAAGAAAGTATTAAATAAGTACTTTTATTACCTTTCCTATCCCCCAACTCATTGGACTAATATTCTCACCCTCTTCTAATTTTGTCTTATCATTTTTGATTAACGATATCATTAAAGTGATATTTGACGCTCCTCTCTCAAAATTCCATCAGTACGTGGTCATTCTAACTGATCTTCAAGATGTATTTTTTTTTTTTTTTTTTTTGAGATGGAGTCTCTCTCTGTCACCCAAGCTGGAGTGCCGTGGTGTGACCTTGGCTCACTGCAACCTTCCGCCTCCCGGGTTCAAGCGATTCTCCTGCTTCAGCCTCCCAAGTAGCTGGGACCACAGGCGTGTGCCACCACGTCCAGCTATTTTTTGTATTTTTAGTAGAGACAGGGTTTCACCATGTTGGCCAGACTGGTCTTGAACTCCTGACCTCAGGTGATCCACCTGCCTCGGCCTCCCAAAGTACAGGGTGTCAGGTAAAAAGAAACAGAAAGAAAAATTAAAAAGTAAGCTCAAGCCCAAGCAGTGTGCTGAGTTGCATATTACCATGGCCTCAAACGGTCAGCTAAAGAGTTAGGCTTCTGTTCTATGTGCAAAGGGACCTCCTCACACTTCTAACCAATTTGCTTGTAACTCACCTTACCATGTTACTATATCTTGCCAATATTTGTTAGTATTCAAGTTTTATCTACTCTATTATTTTTAATATTCTCAAAAGCAAAACATTTGAATTTCCTTCTGTTTATTTTGTATCATCTCTAGCCTCAGTATGGGCATTTCACTTATTGGAGGTCATAAAATATTTGCTCAACTGAATTGACCTGCAGAGCCAAAGTAGAAAATAAAAAGAATAAAAATGTTGGTTTGAAAATTGGTAGCAAAGTAATAATCTATTGACTATTAGCTTGCTTAGGATGTACATACAAAGGAAAAATGAGGTCAGTACAGTTACTGTATAATTGTTTGGTGATATTCATCTTATTGAAAATCAAATATTTGAGACCCAAATGTTGCTTCTCTCCAATCATGTACAATTTCTAGATCTGGGCCAGTAGGGAAAATGGCCACAATTCTCCAACCTCTGATTACAGATTCTTTCTTATGTATTTTATGGGAATAAATTAATACATTAATAATCTTAAGTGATATAAAAATTATAGGCATGGTTTTAAATAGCTCTTTTGTCAAGTTTATACAAGAGCAAGGGAGAAAATCTTTAAGCCTCGATCCAAATTCAAAAATTATGGCAATAATTTTTTAAAGTTTTACTGTAAAGAAAAGTAGACAGCTTAGTCCTGGGCCACTTACAAAAGAGCTCTTTATAACAATGTCTTTTGGTCGTCGTGATCAAACGGAACTCAATACTTATCTCCCTGCTCCTGAGATTACCAGGTATTTTCTGCCACACTAAATGGAAATGTCTGTGTTAGTTAAGAATGTGATATACCAATGTGGCTGTGATCCAAACTAGACTCTGCAAACTCCAGAAGCACACAGTGCATGGGAAGAAAGATACATGGTCCTCATGGGAAAGCATTAGCGTCATGACCTCATAAGAGTTAATGGACAAGAAGAATGACTTCGATGGGCTGTATAGAAAAACCTGCTGTTTCCTCTCAACACTTGCAAACCCCAGTGAAACTTTAGTAATTAATAGTGATTGGATCCAATAATGATTAGCCAAAGCATCTGCCATGGGCAGCTCCTGGGCACTCACATGACCTTCTGTGTGTTAATTAAGGGCATCACTGATCCAAATAGCCCAGTCTGCAGTTGATGACCCCACCACATGCAGAAGACACTGCCCTGCTTAGGGAGCTGTAAAGAAACAAATTGAGACATGCTGTAGTCTCAACTCAAAAGGTAGATTTAATTTAAATCAAAAAGTGACTGTTAGGTTAATTGTACCTATGACAACTTAGGGTTTATAAATAGGCACATGTGGACATTTAAGTGAGTAAGCCACTTAACATATGTACAAACTATTTGGGAGTGCATACACACACAAATGTGTATGTATCAAGTTGCTTGAGTGCTCTCCTAAAGATTAGTCATGTTTCAGAATGCAAATAAAAGCATATACACATATGTAAAATACTACAAAGTCTGAATAATTTGTTGGTAGAATTTGGGAAAAATTATAAGGCACTGATATGTTATAGCCAATAACCCAATTGTTGTTTTTAATTTCATCAAAAAATTAAACCTATTTAATCTTATCAAACCAAAAATATCCCCCTCTGTGACTTATATATAAGATCCTGAGTATATTTTAATCTGTATCAAATCAGTGGAACTATTCAGTTGAATTCCATTTTAGTAGCATATCAAGACACAAGGAGAAAAGCTAGTTTTGAAATATTTCTGTATAGGGTTTTTTTTTTTTTAATGGGCATTGTGAAGCATGCATTTGGTAATAGGAATAATGGGAGGAGAAGAGAAGGCGTAGGATTTGTAGATCTACCAGAGAGAAAATCCTCAAATGAAATAAAGAGCAATACAAATCACAATTGTATCAAGTGCTGGATTGTCCTGAACTAACTTGAAAGTCATAAAAGCACAGAGCAAAGAGAGAAGAATCAGAACATAGAGATTAGGGACTTTCGGGAAAATTACTAACTTTACCAGGATGCCATTTTATATCCTCAACACAAGGGCATATTTATGCTGTTTTCCATTTCTAGCTCATTATAATCTATGATCCTCAAACTTCAGCACGCATCAGGAGCTCCTAGAAAGCTTGTTAAAACACAGAATGCTGGGCCTCATTTTCAGAGTTTCTGATTCTGTAGGCCTGGGGTAGGATCCCAGATTTTGTATTTTTAGAAAGTTGAATTGTGATGCTGCTGCTGGCGGCTGGGAGACTACACTAATAAATATGGCAACATTACTTTATTTAGATGCTTTAATATTTTGTCATTTCCATGTGAACAACAATCATTCTCTATTAGATTTTTCAAACTATACTTAACTCTTCAAATAATTTATAAAAAATGTTTCCTTTCTTTCATCCCAGAAATAATATTAAAGCCACAGGATTAGATAAATTCCCCTAATGAGAGATTAATTAGAGAAGAGAGAGGACCCCTGTATTAGTTTGCTAGGGTTGCCATACCAAAGTCTTACAGAGTGGGTCGCTTAAACAATAGACATTTATTTTCTTACAATTCTGCAGGCTAGAAGTTTAAGACCAAGGTGTCAGTAGGGTTGATTTCTTCTGGGGCTTCTTCCCTTTGCTTGTAGATGGATATTTTCCTTTCACATGGTCTTTTTTCTGTACGTGTCTGTGTCCTAATTTCTTCCTCTTAAAAGGACACCAGTCACATTGAATTAGGACTCACCAAAATGACATCATGGTAACTTAATTACCAGTTTAAAGACTCTATATCCAAATAGAGTTACATTCTGAGTACTAGGAGTGAGGCCTTCATGTTATGAATTTGGAGGACACAAAATTCAGTCCATAACATTCCCCAAACCAACATTTTAAGATAAAATAGAAGGAAGCCAGAGAACGTTTCAATGTGAAAGGAAGGAAGACAATCAGGAGTGAGTGTGGTAGAAGAGAAGCCACTCACTATTGCCCAAATTATCAAAATTTAGACAAAAATGACAGATTGTCATGGCTTTATTTTTCTTATGACTAAATATTCAGGTTTGTATAGCAGAAAGTCCAGAACCCTTAGCAACTCTCACCATGATATTGTCCTCATCCCTATTTTTCTGATTTTCAAACTTTGAGTTCATAGTGAGTCATCTAAATTGGCGTGGAGTATGTGAGTGCTGAATTCAAATCTTACATAGGCCAGGTATATTGGCTCATACCTGTCATCCCAGCATATTGGGAGGCTGAGGTGGGAGGATCACTTGAACTCAAGAGCTCGAGACCAGCCTAGGGAATATAGGGAGAGCCCATCTCAATTTTTAAAAAATCTTAAATAACAGTTTCACTAGAAATATTGTAAGAAACTGGGAACAAAGCAATGTTAAGGCTAGATGACACTGTAGTACAAAGGGCATGGAAGGAGGCATCTTTTACATTTGCCTGAAAGGCAGAAATCCTTTGGCAAAATAGGCTTCACATGACAGTGCTACTCTGGGACTGGGAAGACTTCAGAACAAGTGTGGCAGTCAGCACTGTACCAGATCAGCCATGGCAATTAGATAATGCATAATGAGCAGAAGCTGTAGAGATACCTGGGAAGAACCCAGGCCAAATAAAATTCAGCTGTGGAAGCAATTTACTCGCTCAAATCAAGGTAACGGCAGTGCGCTTCACAGGACTGTCTGTAGGCAGGGAAGTAGCCAGAAGAGGAAGAAAATGAGGATGGCTGCCTGAACTTATTCTTGAGGATACATGAGATACATTTATTGGCTTCCCAAAATAACTGAGAAGTTGTTGGCAGGGCATGGGTTTCCCACAATAGCCACTGGTGTCAAGAAGTAGCAAAACATGGACTATGTTAAAAAAAAAAAAAAAAAAAAATGAGGGCAAGAATGAGAGGAAACAGAAAAAAAGAAAAGCATACAGGAACATATCTTTAGTTGTATATGGCTATTCACCACTTACATTTTTAGAAAACAAAGTTCTCTGAACATCAGGTCTTCAGTGATTTCTCTGAGTTGAGAACCTGTATATTTATTTATCACCAAACAATATATTAATGCTCAATTGCTAATTCATTTCCACAAACATGGATAGAAAGCCTGCTATTGTGTAAAGTACTCTGACAGGGACTGGAAAACAAAGATGAATAAGACATTGGCCCTGATTTTTAATAAGCTCATGGTATTGTCAGGTATACACACTGTCAGGCCTTCTCAAACATGTAATGAATATACTATGCTAAAAATGTGTATGGCACTTAAAAAATTTTTTTAGCATAAAGAAAAATAAATACTAATGGCTATTTCAAAAGTGTTCCTGGACACAAGAGTTTTCGTTTTATAGCAGAATAAGAAATTACCAATTTCTAACAGGAAATAAGCACATTCACATATGTCTGGTGCTAGATTCCTGTCTTGAATTATACTAATATAAAGCAAATGGCAGGTCTGAAAATAGAATATGTATTTTGTTTGAATAATCCATTTTTATGATACACATTCAGTTATTACTCTTCCAAGGGAACACAATCCTTAGGTAATTATACAATAAAATAAATCTAGTCTGAAAATGTTACCATAAACCTAGAAAATCCAGATTTACAGGATTGCTTCTGGCTTATTGATATATGATTATTATTATTTTTTTTTTCTTTTTTGAGACAGGATCTCACTCTGTCACCCAGGCTGGAGTGCAGTGGTGTGATCATGGCTTACTGCAGCCTTGACCTCTAGGGCTCAAGCTATCCTCCGACCTCAGCATCCTGAATAGCTGGAACCGTAGGCTTGCACCACCGTGACTGGCTATTTTTTTTTTTTTTTTAATTTTGTAGAGACGAGGTCTCTCTTTGTTGCTTAGGCTGGTCTTTAACTACTCAAGTGATCCTCTTACCTTGGTCTCCCAACATATCAGGGTCGCAGGTATGAGCCACAGCACATGGCCTGATTATTTCAAATTAATAAATCCATTATCGATAATCTGTAGTTTATAACAGTGGTTTGTCTGCCCAACACTTCCTTCCCATTCTGCTGCGGTGGAAGCCCCAGTGCTATTCCTCCTATTCCCTTCATATTGGAGGTGATGGTCAAAACAACAAACACTTCCCTCTGCTCTCCTTCCTTTTCCAGAGATAGATAGACACATGACCCAAACTAGATCAATCAGAGCTCTTCCCTTGGATTTTATATAATGGAAACTGGCGGAAAAGTACTCTCTGTCCGCTCATGAGGCTAAATTGTATAAAAGCCAGAAACAGCATTTGGTTATGATCTTAGATTTGTTGGTACAGCTGGTCTAAGAGAATGAAGTCACAACAGAGAAGTGGAGATGAAAGACAACGAAAGAGAAAATAGAATGAGACCAGATCCGATGTGAAAACAAGAGGCCTGATGACTTTGGCATTCTTGCATCCAGTCATTATGAAACCACTTCCACCTCATCTCTTTTTGAAGTTTGCTTCATGTACCCTTTCCACTTTTAGCTAATTGAACTAGTTTTCTGTAACTTGGCTCAGAATGAGTCTTAACACATTACACGTATATCCCAAAGCTATTATAAATTTACAAAATTTGCATGTTCAACAGTCTTTGTTTTAAAAAACACTGTTTTCATTGACTTTTCTAAGCCTGCGGTAGAATGTAGCTGTTCAAACTTTCCCATTGTCCAATCTCTTAAATATCAGTTCCACAAAAAACCTAAGACAAGTAATCTTCATGGAATATAAGACAAAAAATAGTTGGAACTTGGAATAAATTGTTTGAAGCTATGGTGTTAAATGGATCTGTGACAATAAAGTTTTTCTTGTTTAAGAAAGTTAAATACATTATTTTTGACATTAAACATCAATACCCTCTTGGAACTCTGACTTCGAATTTGACCTAAGCTACTATGGGGGCAACTGCAAAATCCCACAGATTTCCATTGACCAAGTAATTATAGTCACTTCCTTTTATGTAGCAATGTTATATCAAAGTGCTTTAAAATATAATTTGTTTAGCTTGTTCAAAAGGCCAGGAAGCATATATCATCATTGCAATTTTTACTGTACTGACAACAGACCCTGTGCAAGGACACAAAGCTGATAAGTGGCTGTGCAAAATATAAAATGCAGGTCTATATTTCAAAGTTGAGTGTTCACTACAATTATCCTGAAGTATGGAATATAAAGGGTCACTTGTTATGTAGATGCTAACCAGCTAGAGTACTCGAAGCAACTGCACTGACAGTTACAAAAGATTTGAAGGCCAGGCGCAGTGGCTCACGCCTGTAATCCCAGCACTTTGGGAGGCTGAGGCGAGTGGATCACCTGAGGTCGGGAGTTCGAGACCAGACTGACCAACATGGAGAAACCCCCTTCTGTGCTAAATATACAAAATTAGCTGGGCCTGGTGGCGCATGCCTGTAATCCAAGCTACTCAGGAGGCTGAGACAGGAGAATCACTTGAACCCTGTGAGAGGAGGTGCCAGGTGGGCTTCCTGGGTCGAGTAGGGGCTCAGAAAGCTGTGAAACTCACTCATTTCCTGCATCAGGACTTACTTCAGTCCTGGATGAATAATATTGCAGATATATGCTTAAAATATTCCTAACACCAGGATTTGTGCATGTGTTTTCTTCCCCAAGAAAGCTATAAACAGCAAAAATTTTGCTGTAAGTTTCCCTGTGTCCTCTCTCCCTTCCCCTCCTCTGAAACTAAAGTAAAAGGAATGTTAACTGCCCGTTTTTCTGTGACCAGTGGACCTTATCTATACTCCCAATTCCAATTCCTTGTAAACATACTTTGTAAAGTCCTGTAAGATCCTGTCTCCTTTGCCATGCCGCTGCAAGGTCATAAAGTAGATAAAACCTAAGTTGCAATTCCAGTTTTCCTCAAGATCTAAGACATGTCACAAATGGTTAATTGTCTTTGTTTCTCGCTCTGGTAACATCTTCCCACCCCACGTATTTCCCGCCTTAAGGAGTTTAAAAGGCAATCGTATAATCTAACTCTGGCTACCCGTTTGGGAACCCTTCCACGCTGTGGAAGCTTTGTACTTTCACTCTGCTCAGTAAAGCCTACAACTTTTTCCTCTCTCTCGGTCTGTGTCTCCATCACTTGCTGTGGTCAGCAGCCGCACCAATTCTTTGGTGTGGCTAGGCAAGGACCTTAGGCGTTATACCAGGAGGTGGAGGTTGCAGTGAGATCGCGCCATTGCACTCCTGCCTGGGAAACAAGAGCGAAACTCCGCCTCAAAAAAAAAAAAAAAAAAAAAAAAAAAAGCTTTGAATGATACATATTGAGGCTCAGATTACCTGCCATTCATATCACCTGTTGTGCATTGTAACCAAAGCTGAAGAACTGATACAGAAGTCATTTCAAGTTACCAATGCTTGTTGAATAGAACTACATTTTGAAATAAAAGGAAACCCAATTATTCTCTCTCTCTCTCTCTACTTATTTTAAAAGTGATACAATGCCTACACATAAGCATTCCAAGCAATTTTGATGTAGTAGAAAAGTTATAGTCTCAGCTGAGCTATTAAATAACTACCTGAACCAAGGCAAATTATTTAACATCTATTAAAAAATAAATATTGCTCTGAATACTTGTTAAAAATGAGAAGGAAGATTCTATTTAAGACTATGTGATAGGAGAGACAGAGAGAGAGAGAGAGAGAGAGAGAGAGAGACAGAGAGAGAGATATTGAACTCCATTCCACCGGAAAAAAAGAAAAGAGAATTTTTAAATTCTGGGATGAGTCAATGGAAAAGTCTTGGCAAATGTTAAGGGAGAAGCTTGGTCAATGTAATCAGGCCATCTATGTGTTTGCAAATTGTCCCTTCTGGAAGTTATGATCCTATAATCTCATAGAGACTGAGAGACAGGAGACCTATCTTTCTTGATGATTACAATTCAAGGGAATTATTACTAGGTCCTTGAGAAAGACGTTCCTGAGTTGTAGAAGACTGACATCTCAAAGGGTCAGAGAAAGAATTTACAATTGCAAATTTTCTAAAGTAAATACTCAAAGAAAAGAGAGGTCCGGAGCCTATAGTCAGGAAGAAGCCTGTATAGTCAGGCCGAGGGTAATGTTAAGCCCTTCTTGGTCACTATATTCCTTAGTATATTTACATAGAGAGTAAGAATAAAGTTAATTAGTTTACATATTTATTGAGACAATTGAGTAAAAAAATTATGAAATTTCTTAACAAATAGAAGTATCAATATAAATCTAATGGAGTTAATATCCTATAACAATCAATATTATTATAATACAGAAGTAAGATGTGAATCAACAAAATTAGCTCTGTTCACCCGTATTTTCAACCCTCTTGGCTATCTTTAGAGTTTTGACATTTTACAAGCTATGGGAATGTGAGGAGAGGAACTACACTGGAAACAAAGATTGTCTTATTATGCAGATAAAGTCTCTCAGGTAGCAGCCCTCAGAAGACTGAGTGAAAAGTCTATCTGGGCATAAGCTCCTGGGCGTGGAGACCCTTAGTTTCCTCCCCTTCCCCTACAATAGGACTTAATCTTCTCTGGTTAATGTTAACTCCAGGGAGCAGGGTTCATGACAATGGGATTCTTCCTGAGGAACTTCCCTCAGTCAGACAAGGGAAATTTCACAGACAGCCCCTCCCTGTGCTTCAGGAGAGAAAGAGAACGGAGAGACAGAGGAGTAGGGGAAGGTCAGAGAGATCTTGGTTCTGAGACTGCTTTTTCAGTTCTAAGTATTTAGTATGTCAAAGCTCCATACTTTGGGGTGTCATTTTCCAAGCCCACAACTGCCTGTTTTCTGTCCAAAATGATTTTACAGGCAAATTATTTTTTGCACATATTTAAGAACAAATAATTTACATGATATGTAAAAATGATGGAAAGCTTTTCAACTCATGTTATGACTCTGGCATAATCCTAAAAGTTAAATTTTAAAAAAAATTATAGCAGAAAATAAAAGAAAGGAACATATTACATATCTATGCTCCTTATATGTCTGTATATATGCACATAAGTCTAATACATATAATCTTAAATAACATAACTGAAAAGAAAAATGTATGAGGCTCAAGAAAGGTTCATTTCATAAATTCCAAATTGGAAAATATTTTATATAATTCACTGCATAGATATATCACAATAGAATAAAACTTTATAAAAGATGCTTAAATATATATATATATATATATATAAAATAATACATGTATATTTAAATTAAAAGCCCTAACTAAACTAGGAACAATGGAGAATTTCTGAATATAATAAGTTTAAATCTGGGTGGTTTGACTAGCTTCTCTGATTGAAGTCTCACAAGGTTAAATTCAAGGTGTCAACATGACTGGTTATTATCTGAAGAGTTTAGAAAAGATCCTGCTTCTAAACTTATTTAGATAATGAGCAACATTCAGTTCCTTGAGGTTGTAGGACTGAGATCCCTAGCCCCTTACTAGATGTCAACAAAGGGATGTTCTCTGCCCCTTGCTTCTGTGCAGGTATATTTTTATTATTAAAAGAACTCTTACACACAATAAACTAAAATGCATGCCCAATAGAAAAGTATTCACAAATTAAAAGCTTAAAAAAAAACTATAAATAGGAAAAACATCATAAGACTTATTAATAATAAGAAAGAAAAAACAGTATAATTTGTTTTTGTATCAATAAAAGACAATGTAAAAGATTGATTTGGCTGTATATTTCTTAGGTCTTAAAATTGTTCCTCACATTTGCTCCAGAAATGTTACCTCTAGTTACTTATCCTAAGAAAATGGTTAAATATTGTAATTGCCCATATCCTAAGGAAATGATTAAATATTGTAATTACCCACTGCCCAGAAAAGCCAAAGTATTGAGAACAGCAGGTTTTTGCAATAGAGAGTTTAAAAAATGCAGAGCTGGCTAAGTGGAAGTACAGGAGTTCTTTTTCATTCAAATCATCCTCCCCAAAAGTTCAGAGGCTAGGGTGTTTTTAAGGATAGTTTGGAGGGCAAGGGAACTAGGAAATGACGAATGCTGATTGGTTGCATCCAGGATGAAACCACAGGAAGCTTATCTTATTGTGCTGAATCAGTTCGTGGGTGGGGCTGCAAGACCAGATGAGCCAGTTTATTGGTCTGGATGGTGCTAGCTGGGCCATCAGAATGCAGAGTCCGAAAAATACCTGGATCATCAGTCTTAGGTTTTACAGTAGTGATGTTATCTATAGAAACAATTGGGTAAGTTGGGAGTCTTGTAGTTTGTGGCTGCATAACTCTTGAGGCATAATTTCTAAACTTGTAACTAATTTGTTCATTTCACAAAGGTGATCTGGTCCCCAAGAGGGAGTTTGTTTGGGGAAGGGGCTGTTATTATCTTTGTGTCAAAGTTAAACTATAGACTAAATTCCTCCCATAATTAGCTTGGCCTATACCCAGGAATGAACAAGGGCAGCTTGGGAGTTAGAAGCAAGGAGTTGGTTAGGTCAGATTTCTTACGGTTAAAATTTTCCTATGTCAGATTTTTCTCACTGTCATAATTTTTGCAAACACTGTTTGAATACCACACAAAAATCTGTCTATAGTCATACTCTGCACAGCTTTTTTTTTTTTTTAATAATAGCAAAACTTTGGTAGCATGAAATCATTCAACACTTCAAGGTTAAATAAATTTAATACAACCATATATGTGGATGCCATTAAAAATGTAAACCTGGAAATACACTATTTAATAAATGAATTGTAAGTTTAAAAAGCAAACAATAAAGGATTGTGCAGAGTATATTCCCATTTGGAGAAAACATATCTATATACTTGCATAGAAATATTATGGAAAAATATACATAAGCATAGTAACATTAATTGCATATGTGTTATAGGTAATTGGTGTTTGTGAAAATTTGTTTATTTTCTAAATCAACAGTGTGGACTCACTGTTAAATTGCAGTTCTGTCTACTAAAGTAGGAGCATTTTAAAGACAGCGTTTAGGTCTTACTCAAAAATCTCCTTGACAATCTACCTCTGACAGGTGCTTTGTAAATGTGCATTATAGAAGTGGGCACATCTATTGAAAACCTTCTTGTTACTCTTTTGAAATAAGAAAGATTAATCTTGCCTGATTCCTAGATACTCTGTCATCAAATTTTTTACCTTTTTTGGGGGGGGGGGTGGGGATGGAGGGAAACAGTTCATCTCCTTAGGTGTGAAAAGGAAGACTTTTAGGCTACATCAAAGTAAAAATTCACAGGTACTCCTCTGTAGCATGCTAGGAAGAAATAAAATAGAAATATGTGACAACATTTGTTACTCTGCAGGGTTCTAGAAAGAATGTTTGACCTAAATACTATGAAACTAAATTACATTAGAACACAAATTGATTTGATGCAGTGGAAAGATTTGGGGTTTACTTTGTTTGGAAAGAAGTTGGAATTTTACCATTTCTTCTTCAATTTTCAAGCAACTCTAAATAAGTGTTTTGGAATGAACCACATTCACCTTGCCACTCATTTAGCTTATTTAGTTTGAAAACATTTACATAGTAAAAAGCTGTTAATGACATCCTGATAACCCTGGAGCTATGAGTAAAGAGATTGCTGCTTTGTGCTAAACGTACATTTTACCCTTTTACATCTTCTAAATACCTCTATTGCTAATGACTTTTTTCATCCTGAAATTCATATTTCCTAAGCAACCTGAAAACATAAGATAGTCTTGGAGGGACAATTGCTATTAAAATTAGCTGTCTTTCCCAATCAGCAAACGAAGAGAATTTTGTTCAGGGGAAATCTTAGTTCTATTAAAGGAAATTGAACTGGAAGTTTTTATTGCCTGATGGAATATTGTCTTAAAGGTGATCTAAAGGACAGTTTATGCATCAAACATTCTGTTTTTAGTCTGGTTTTCTTTTGCAGATGGTCTTTAAAGTGATAACATTTTTATGGATTTTGTGGTGGTGAGAAAAAAAGCAGAGAGAGGCTAAATGCAAATATTACCTAAAATTTAGATGTAAAATTGACGTGGAAACTTATGTTTCTAATGGTTCTAATGGTTCTAATATGTAGCAAAGCATGGTTAAATTTTCTTAAGTTTGGTCTGTTTATTTCCACTGCATTTTACTCCAATGTACATATTGGATAAAATACAATTTACAAAAAGGCTTTTTACACATAGTCCAGAAATTGAAGGATGAGGTGTGTTTGCTTCAGAAACATCCTTTCCTGGCATCCATTAAGATGTGCTCACCAAGGTTAGGCCTTGCTACGTGCTAATGTCTCCTGCTGAGGCCTACAGCCCCTCTCTCCTCTCTGGTTGCTGTGTCTGTCACAAGGTTCCAGTCAGAAAGCAGAGTGTACTTTTCTCCTGTTCTGGCTTCCCCAGATTTATGTGAGATTGTCTTAACCATCTTTTGCCATTTCTGAGTTTAAAATCAAGTAACGAGAAGGTTCAGGCCCCTTTTTCAGGTGCTCATAGCAATGACCAAATCTAAGCTTCTACCTGTGGAATGTTCCTAAGCTGTCTGCCCTGGGTTCTAGTGAGAAGAAAGTTTTCCTCACGGCGCAGTTTATAAAACACTCATGGTTCCTGATGGGTCATAAAGTAATCTGCAGAATATAGATAGCCCTCTATATATAGAGAGAGAGAGAATAAATTCTGATTTTCTTATCTTTTTCTCTTGCCCAGATTCCTATCTAAGGGGTCTGGGGGAGCCACGCCCTACAAGCCATACATTCTCATCAGATGGATTCTATTTAATCCTATATATCGTGACTTATTTTCTGACATGACTCTGGCATAACAGAACAAGACAAGGAAGAAAATCAAAATATTTTACCCCCAAAAACATATTTTTGTCACATTTTGAAATGGTTCTGCAAGCTGTCCTTTGTGGGATAAAATTCACATCTGTAAATAATCCCTATTAACATAGCTAGACCTTTTCCTTCCAGGCCCCTCCCAATCCTAAAGAGATTAACTAAAAGTCTAACACCTTTTAAAGATCTGAATAGGAAACATTTGTCATCTATTGTCTCTAAGGGCAGCCACTATAAGACTTCAAAGGAAATTCAGTCTCCACAATGTTTTATCTTAATCTGAACATTTTCTTTCTATAATGCCCAGGTCTTTAGACAAACTCAACCAATCGTCAACCAGAAAATGTTTAAATTTACCTATAGCCTGAAGGCCCCCTTCTTCCCTGCCTCCCGCTTTGAGTTGCCCCGTCTTTCTGGACCAAACCAATGTATTTCTTAAATGTATTTGATTGACGTTTCATGCCTCCTTAAAATACATAAAACAAAGCTTCACCCCGACCACCTTGGACACATGTTCTCAGGACCTCTTGAGGACTGTGTCATGGGCCATGGTCACTCATATTTGGCTCAGAACAAATCTCTTTAAATATTTCACAGAGTTTGACTCTTTTTGTTGACATACATACCAAATAACTTGCAGACTACTTTACTATTACAGACCTCATATGTATATGTATATATGTGTATACACATATGTATGTACATGTATTACATTATATACATTATATTACATACATATTTATGTACATGTATTACATTATATACAATTTTATTTACATACTAGATTCATAATTTTCCAATAATTTCACAAATATGAAATGTAAGATTTTTTTAAATGATTTTTCTCATAAGTCTCATTCCCATTTTCATGACTGTTAAGCTTTTAAATGCTATTTATATAAAACACTGTACTAGTTAGGTCATCTTACCCGAGATGCATTTAAAAGAGTGTGAACTGTGTTAATATATTTTCACCTCATCTTTTCCTTCATATTTTAATTTACTTTACATATCTCTCTGCACTGTCATCCAAAAGACCACCAGGATGGCTACACAGCAGAAAGGAGAGCTTTATTGGTAATATCAGTTTGCAAGCCAGGAAGAGAAAGTCTCCAGTATGAACCAAAGGTGCCCTCTCTTCGAAGAGGGAAAATGACAGTGTATTATTTCATTCTCACGCACTGCTATAAAGAACTACCTGAGACTAGGCAATTTATGGAAAAAAAAAAAGAGGTTTAATTGACTGTTCAATTCAATTCAACTGTTCAATTCACTGTTCCGTAGGCTGTACAGGAAGCATGGCTGGGAGGCCTCGGGGAACTTACAATCATGGCGGATGGAGAAGGGGAAGCAAACATGTCTTACTATGGCACAGCAGGAGAAAAAGATGGTGAAGGAGGAAATGCTACACACTTTCAAACCACTAGCTCTCCTGAGAACTTTATCACAAGTACAGCAAGGGGGAAGCCCACCCTTATAATTCAATCACCCCCCACCAGGCTCCTCCTTCAACACAAGGGATTACAATTCAACATGAGATTTCAGTAGGAACACAGAAACAGACCATATAAGACAGTTTGTGTTTTTTGCTACACAGGGCTGGTATTATCCAATCCAGCAGACTTTGGGGGAAAGCTATACATATTTATGATGGGAGCCAAACGCATGCACAATGGGTAAACATGTATGTAACATACACCCCATGTTCACTTTGGGGCAGGGTTTTAGCATTAAAATGAGGTAGAATTGGGCTCTTTACATGAATAGGTGAACTAAAGGACACAAAGACAGTTTGTGCACAAACTCTACAAGCTGGCTGAAACTGGTTTAAGGTCTGCAATTGCTTATCAGGAAAGCATGTTTGCACGTCTGGTCCTCTGTCCAATCAGAGTTGTAGTGGTCTGGGTTGAGTCAGCCTGATAGCTTCTATTGTTAGGGAGTACAGCTTCTATTGTTAGGGAGTATTTTCTTATAGTCATAGGAATGTAGAAATTTGCCCTGCCAGCAGGCCCAGAGCTCTCGACCTGTAGGTAATTTTTGTTTCCTTAACCTTAAGGCCTTAGTTGATAAAGGGGTGTTTATTTTGGTGTCTTAGATCACAGCACTAATTCACATTAAATGTGGATTCAATCTTTTGTTCTTCATGAGCATTATAAATTAATGGATGGTCTTTATCTTCATTGTTAATAAAACCTCTTGGTTGTTTAAAAATGTTTAAAAAATATATGTATTTTTAAGTTTTGTATAAAATCTTGATCAATGTGCATATGTTTTCTTTAAAAAATACACCTACATTCAAAAGCTTCACCCTAATGTTTCATAAAATTATATAATAGAAAACGCTTTTGGGGTTCAGATAATAATCAAGGCTCTACAAAACTTGTTTTATTTATTCAACAAATATTAGTTGAGCACTTATTATATGCCATAACAGCTTTAATATTTGGAATAAATATAATAAAAATACATATACCCAATTAAAAGATGATAAGAGCTGAGAGAAGAAAAGGTAAAGAAAGGTGATAACGACTTAATATAAGGGATTGGAAATATGTGCAATTTTAAATAAATTTGTCAGAGGAGACTTGTTGAAAAGTTGACATTTGAGAAACAACAATTACATAAAATATTTAGCCATGTAGCTATCTGGGGAAGAATATTTCAGGATGAAGGAACAGCCAAGACAAAGGCACTAAGGTGGCTTTTCTATTATGTTTAAGAATGACCAAGAAGGACAAAGCATAGTAAGTAAAGAAGAGTAGATGATTAAGAAAGGACAGGTGACATGGTGGTGATGGATCATACAGGACTTGTGGGCCATTACTTAGGCTTTTACACTGCATGAAATAGGGAGCTATTACAGAGTTTTGTACAAAGAAACATGATTAGCCTTACATCTTAAAATAGTTACTTTGGCTCTCTGTTGATAATTATTTGGAATGGTATAGGAAGAGATGTCAAAGGGGAACACCAATTAGAACACTATTGTAATAATTCACTGAGCAATGATGGTGACTTGGAACTTGGACAAGGATGGTGGTAAATCAATGGTGAAAAGCAGTCATACTGAATATATTCGGTTGTTCCTACTAGATTGGGTGTGGGATGAGAAAGCCAGAAGTAAAAGATCACTCCAAGATTTTTGGCCTAATCAAGTGGAAGGATCAAGTCATGAGTTCAGCTGTGAAAGGCTGTGAGTGGTACAGATTTTTAGGACTGTCATATTTAACAAATAAAAATAGAAGACACTTTATAAATTTGAATATCAGATAATATGTGTAACATACTTGTACTTCAATAAATTTTTTTTTAAATTCATATTTAACTGGGTAATATGTATTTTATGTGACAAGCCTAAGTGAGGGGACAAAAAAGAGTCTGGGTTTAGATATGACTGACAGGAAGAATGGAACCAAGTTGGAAAACACTCTGCAGGATACTATGCAGGAGAACTTCCCCAATCTAGCAAGGCAGGCCAACATTCAAATTCAGGAAATACAGAGAACGCCACAAAGATACTCCTCAAGGAGAGCAACTCCAAGACATATAATTGTCAGATTCACCAAAGTTGAAATGAAGGGAAAAATATTAAGGGCAGCCAGAGAGAAAGGTCGGGTTACCCACAAAGGGAAACCCATCAGACTAACAGCAGATCTCTTGGCAGAAACTCTACAAGCCAGAAGAGAGTGGGGGCCAATATTCAACATTTCTAAAGGAAAGAATTTTCAACCCAGAATTTCATATCCAGCCAAACCAAGCTTCATAAGTGAAGGAGAAATAAAATCCTTTAAAGACAAGCAAATGCTGAGAGATTTTGTCACCACCAGGCCTGCCTTACAAGAGCTCCTGAAGGAAGCACTAAACATGGAAAGGAACAACCGGTACCAGCCACTGCAAAAACACGCCAAATTGTAAAGACCACTGATGCTAGGAAGAAACTGCATCAACTAACGACAAAAATAACCAGCTAACATCATAATCACAGGATCAAATTCACACATAACAATATTAACCTTAAATGTAAATGGGCTAAATGCTCCAATTAAAAGACACAGAGTGGTAAATTGGATAGAGTCAAGACCCATCAGAGTGCTGTATTCAAGAGACCCATCTCATGTGCAGAAATACACATAGGCTCAAAATAAAGGGATGGAGGAAGATCTACCAAGCAAATGGAAACCAAAAAAAAGCAGGGGTTAGAATTCTAGTATCTGATAAAACAGACTTTTATTTTTATTTTTTAATTTTCTTTTTCCTTTTTTTATTGTATTTTAAGTTCTAGGGTACAGGTGCACAGCGTGCAGGTTTGTTACATATGTATACATGTGCCATGTTGGTGTGCTACACCCATTAACTCGTCATTTATATTAGGTATATCTCCTAATGCTATCCCTCCCACCTCCCCCCACCCCATGACAATCCCTGGTGTGTGACGATCCCCACCCTATGTCCAAGTGTTCTCATTGTTCAATTCCCACTTATGAGTGAGAACATGCGGTGTTTAGTTTTCTGTCCTTGTGATAGTTTGCTCAGAATGACAGTTTCCAGCTTCATCCATGTCCCTACAAAGGACATGAACTCATCCTTTTTACGGCTACACAGTATTCCATGGTGTGTATGTGCCACATTTTCTTAATCCAGTCTATCACTGTTGGACATTTGAGTTGGTTCCAAGTCTTTGCTATTGTGAATAGTGCCACAATAAACATACGTGTGCATGTGTCTTCTTAGCAGCATGATTTATAATCCTTTGGGTATATACCCAGTAATGGTATGGCTGGGTCAAATGGTACTTCTAGTTCTACATCCTTGAGGAATCACCACACTGTCTAACACAATGGTTGAACTAGATTACAGTCCCACCAACAGTATAAAAGTGTTCCTATTGCTCCCCATCCTCTCCAGCACCTGCTGTTTCCTGATTTTTTAATGAGCACCATTCTAACTGGTTTGGATTTGCATTTCTCTGATGGCCAGTGATGATGAGCATTTTTTCATGTGTCTTTTGGCTGCATAAATGTCTTCTTTTGAGAAGTGTCTGATCATATCCTTTACCCACTTTTTGATGGGGTTGTTTGATTTTTTCTTGTGAATTTGTAAAACAGACTTTAAACCAACAAAGATCAAAAGAGACAAAGAAGGCCATTACATAATGGTAAAGGGATCAATTCAACAAGAAGAGCTAACTATTCTAAATATATATACAACCAATATAGGAGCACCCAGATTCATAAAGCAAGTCCTTAGAAACCTACAAAGAGACTTAGACTCCCACACAATAATAATGGGAGACATTAACACCCCACTGTCAACATTAGACAGATCAACGAGACACAAAGTTAACAAAGATATCCAGGAACTGAACTCACTCTGCACCAAGCAGACCTAATACACATCTACAGAACTCTCCACCCCAGATCAACAGAACATACATTCTTCTCAGCACCACATCACATTTATTCCAAAATTGACCACATAGTTAGAAGTAAAGCACTCCTCAGCAAATGCAAGAGAACAGTAATTATAACAAACTGTCTCTCAGACCACAGTGCAATCAAACTAGAACTCAGGATTAAGAAACTCACTCAAGACTGCTCAGCTACATGGAAACTGAACAACCTGCTCCTGAATGACTACTGGGTACTTAATGAAATGAAGGCAGAAATAAAGATGTTCTTTGAAACCAATGAGAACAAAGACACAACATACCAGATTCTCTGCACACATTTAAAGCAGTGTGTAGAGGAAAATTTATAGCACTAAATGCCTACAAGAGAAAGCAGGGAAGATCTAAATTGACACCCTAACATCACAATTAAAAGAACTAGAGAAGCAAGAGCAAACATATTCAAAAGCTAGCAGAAGGCAAGAAATAACTAAGATCAGGGAAGAATTGAAGGAGATAGACACACAAAAAGCCCTTCAAAAAAATCAATGAATCCAGGAGCAGGTTTTTCGAAAAGATCAACAAAATTGATAGCCCACTAGCAAGACTAATAAAAAAGAAAAGAGAGAAGAATCAAATAGATGCAATAGAAAATAATAACGGGGATATCACTACTGATCCCACAGAAATACAAAGTACCATCAGAGAATACTATAAACACCTCTATGCAAATAAACTAGAATATCTAGAAGAAATGGATAAATTCCTGGACACATACAGCCTCCCAAGACTAAACCAGGAAGAAGTTGAATACCTGAATAGACTAATAACAGGCTCTAAAATTGAGGCAATAATTAATAGCCTACCAACCAAAGTCCAGGACCAGACGGATTCACATCTGAATTCTACCAGAGGTAAAAAGATGAGCTGGTACCACTCCTTCTGAAACTATTCCAATCAATAGAAAAAGAGGGAATCCTCCCTAACTCATTTTATGAGGCCAGCATCATCCTGATACCAAAGCCTGGCAGAGACACAACCAAAAAAGAGAATTTTAGACCAATATCCCTGATGAACATTGATGCAAAAATCCTCAATAAAATACTGGCAAACCGAATCCAGCAGCACATCAAAAAGCTTATCCACCATGATCAAGTGGGCTTCATCCCTGGGATGCAAGGCTGGTTCAACATATGCAAATCAATAAACGTAATCCATCATATAAACAGAACCAAAGACAGAAAACACATGATTATCTCATTAGATGCAGAAAAGGCCTTTGACAAAATTCAACAGCCCTTCATGCTAAAAACTCTCAATAAGCTATGTATTGATGGGACGTATCTCAAAATAGTAGGAGCTATATACGACAAACCCACAGCCAATATCATACTGAATGGGCAAAAACTGGAAGCATTCCCTTTGAAAACTGGCACAAGACAGGGATGCCCTCTCTCACCACTCCTATTCAGCATAGTGTTGGAAGTTCTGGCCAGGGCAATCAGGCAGGAGAAAGAAATAAAGGGTATTCAATTAGGAAAAGAGGAAGTCAAATTGTCCCTGTTTGCATATGACATGATTGTATATCTAGAAAACCGCAAGGTTTCAGCCCAAAATCTCCTTAAGCTAATAAGCAACTTCAGCAATCTCAGGATACAAAATCAATGTGCAAAAATCACAAGCATTCTCATACACCAATAACAGACAAACAGAGCCAAATCATGACTGAACTGACATTCACAATTGCTTCAAAGAGAATAAAATACCTAGGAATCCAACTTACAAGGGATGTGAAGGACCTCTTCAAAGAGAACTACAAACCACTGCTCAATGAAATAAAAGAGGATACAAATACATGAAAGAACATTCCATGCTCATGGATAGGAAGAATCAGTATCGTAAAAATGGCCATGCTGCCAAGGTAATTTATAGATTCAATGCCATCCCCATCAAGCTACCAATGACTTTCTTCACAAAATTGGAAAAAAACTACTTTAAAGTTCATATGGAACCAAAAAGGAGCCCGCATTGCCAAGACAATCCTAAGCCAAAAGAACAAAGCTGGAGGCATCATGCTACCTGACTTCAAACTACTACAAGGCTACAGTAACCAAAACAGCATGGTACTGGTACCAAAACAGAGATATAGATCAATGGAACAGAACAGAGCCCTCAGAATTAATACCACACATCTGCAACCATCTGATCTTTGACAAACCTAACAAAAACAAGAAATGGGGAAAGTATTCCCTATTTAATAAATGGTGCTGGGAAAACTGGCTAGCCATATGTAGAAAGCTGAAACTGGATCCCTTCCTTACACCTTATACAAAAATTAATTCAAGATGGATTAAAGACTTTAATGTTAGACCTAAAACCATGAAAACCCTAGAAGAAATCCTAGGCAATACCATTCAGGCCATAGGCATGGGCGAGGACTTTATGTCTAAAACACCAAAAGCAATGGCAACAGAAGTCAAAATTGATAAATGGGATCTAATTAACCTAAAGAGCTTCTGCACAGCAAAAGAAACTACCATCAGAATGAACAGGCAACCTACAGAATGGGAGAAAATTTTTACAATTTACCCATCTGACCAAGGGCTAATATCCAGAATCTACAAAGAACTTAAACAAATTTACAAGAAAAAAATCACAACCCCATCAAAAAGGAGGCGAACGATATGAACAGACACTTCTCAAAAGAAGACATTTATGCAGCCAACAGAAACATGAAAAAATGTTCATCATCACTGGCCATCAGAGAAATGCAAATCAAAACCACAATGAGATACCATCTCATACCAATTAGAATGGCGCTCATTAGAAAGTCAGGAAACAACAGGTGCTGGAGAGGATGGGGAGAAATAGGAACACTTTTATACTGTTGGTGGGACTGTAAACTAGTTCAACCATTGTGTTAGACAGTGTGGTGATTCCTCAAGGATCTAAAACTAGAAATACCATTTGACCCAGCAATCTCATTACTGGATATACACCCAAAGGATTATAAATCATGCTGCTAAGAAGACACATGCACACGTATGTTTATTGTGGCACTATTCACAATAGTAAAGACTTGGAACCAACCCAATGTCCAACAATGATAGATTGGATTAAGAAAATGTGGCACATATACACCATGGAATACTATGCAGCCATAAAAAAGGATGAGTTCATGTCCTTTGTAGGGACATGGATGAAGCTGGAAACTATCATTTTGAGCAAACTATCGCAAGGAAAGAAAACCAAACACTGCATGTTCCCACTCATAGGTGGGAATCGAACAATGAGAACACTTGGACACAGGGTGGGGAACATCACACACTGGGGCTTGTCCTGGGGTCGGGGGAGGGGCAGAGATAGCATTAGGAGATATACCTAACGTAAATGACAAGTTAATGGGTGTAGCACACCAACATGGCACATGTATACATATGTAACAAACCTGCACGTTGTGCACATGTACCCTGTAACTTATAATACTATATATATACGTATATATACACATATATATATACACACATATATATACATATATATATATACACACATATATATATATACACATATACATATTTTTCATTGGTTTTCACAGCTTCTTCTGTTAGGTTTATTCTAAGGACACTGTCTTGTTTTTCAGGCACTGCTCTGAATTTGATTGGAAGGGCACAGTTTTAGGTTTCTCTCCTATGTTATTCCAGTAAATGTAAAAATATTAAAGAACCTCATTCAAAACTTGTTGATAATGTACAGGCATACCTTGGAGATACTGTGGGTTCAGTTCTAGATCACCACAAGAAAGTGAATATTGCAATAAAGTGAGTCACGTGAATTATTTGGTTTCCCAGTGCACTTAGAAGTTATGTTTGCTGTTAGACAATTAAGTGTGCAATAGCATTATGTTTTAAAAAAGTATAAAGTACACACCAAATATAAAATACTTTATTGTTAAATAAATACTATAATCTGGGCCTTCAACAAGTCATAATCTTTTTGCTGGTGGAGGGTCTTATCTCACTGTTGATGGATGCTGACTGATCAGTACAGTGGTTACTAAAGGTTGAGGTAGCTATGACAATTTCTTAAACTAAGACAGCAATGAAGTTTGCTATGTTGATGACTCTTCCTTTCCCAAAAGATTTCTCTGTAGCATTTGATGCTATTTGATAGCATTTTACCCACAGAGCCTTTTTTTCAAACTTTGACTCAATCCTCTCAAACCCTGCCACTACTTTTTCAACTAAGTTTACATAATATTCTAAAGCCTTGGTTGTCATTTCAACAATATTCGTAACATCTTTATCAGGAGTAGATTCCATCTCAAGAAACCACTTTCTCTGGTCATTCTGAAGAGGGAACTCTTCATCTATTCAGTTTTATCATGAGACTGCAAAAATTCAGTCAAATCTTCGGGTTTCTCTTTAGTTTTAGTTCTCTTGCTATTTTCACCATATCTGCAGTGACCGCCTCCAGTGAAATCTTAACTCTAAAATCATACACGAAGGTTGGAATCAACTTCTTCCAAACTCCTGTTAATGTTGATATTTTGACTTCCTCCCATCAGTCACAGATGTTCTGAAGGGCATCTAGAACAGTGAATTCTTCCAGAAGGTTTTCAATTTACTTTGCCCAGATCCATTAGAGGAATCACTATCGATGGCAGCTGTGGCCTTATGAAATGCATAACTTAAATAGGAAGATTTAAAGTCAAAATGACTCCTTGATTCATGAGTTGCAGAATGGATGTTGTTTTAGCAGTCATGAAAATAACATTAATCTCCATTTACGTTTCCATTAGAGCTCTTCAGTAACTAGGTGCAGTTTCCATGAGCAGTAGTATTTTGAAAGAAATTTTTTCTAAGCGCCAGTTCTCAACAGTGGGCTTAAAATAGTAAACTATGCTGTAAACAGATGTGCTGTCATCCAAGCTTTGTCATTCCCCTTATAAAACACAGACAGAGGAGATTTACCATAATTTTTAAGGGACCTACAATTTTCAGAATGGTAAATGAGTTTGGGCTGCAACTTAAGGTCACCAACTGTATTAGCGCATAACAAGAGAGTCAGACTCTTTGAAGCTTTGAAACCAGGCATTGACTTCTCTTCTCTACCTATGAAAGTCCTAGATGGCATCTTCTTCCAATAAAATGCTGTTTCATCTACATTGAAATTTTTTTTAAGTGTAGCCATCTTCATCAATTGTCTTAGCTAGATCTTTTAGATAACTTTCTGCAGCTTCTACATTAGCACTTATTGCTTTACCTTGAATTTTTATGTCCTTAAATCTCTGTCCTTAAATCTCTGAATCAACCTCTGCTAGCTTCCAACTTCTCTTCTGCAGCTTCCTCACCTCTCACAGCCTTCATAAAATTGAAGAGTTGGGCCTTGCTCTAGATTAGGCTCTGGCTTAAGGGAATGTTGTGGCAGGTTTGATCCAGAACACTGGAACTTTCTCCTTATCAGCAATAAAGCTGTTTCACTTTCTTACCATCCATGTGTTCATTGGAATAGCACTTTTAATTCCCTTCAAAAACTTTTCCTTTGCATTCACTACTTGGCTGTTTGGCACAAGAAATCTAGCTTTCAGTCTATCACAGGTTTTAGCATGACTTCCTCGCCAAGCTTAATCATTTCTAGCTTTTTTTTTTTTTTTTGAGAAAGAGAGTCTCACGCTGTCATCCAGGCTGGCGTGTGGTGGCACAATCTTGGCTCACTGCAACCTCCACCTCCCAGGTTCAAGCAATTCTCATGCCTCAGCTTCCCGAGTAGCTAGGACTGTAGACGTGCACCACCATGCCCAGCTATTTTTTTTATTTTTAATAGAGATAGGGTTACACCATGTTGGCCAGGCTGGTCTCAAACTCCTGGCCTCATGTGATCCTCCCGTCTCAGCCTTCCAAAGTGCTGGGATTATAGGCATGAGGCACTGCACCCTGCCTCATTTCTAGCTTTTGACTTAAAATGATAGAACTGTGACTCTTCCTTTCATGTGAACATTTAGAGGCCATTGTAGGGTTATTAATTGCCATAATTTCAATTTTGTTGTGTCTCAAGGAATAGGGAGGCCCTAAGAGAGGAAGAGAGATGGGGGAAGAGCTGGCTGGTGCAGTAGCAAGAAAACACCCCATATTTATTAAGTTTCTAGTCTTTTTTTTTTCCTGAGATGGAGTCCAGCTCTGTCTCCCAGGCTGGAGCGCAGTGGAAAAATCTCGACTCACTGCAACCTCCACCTCCCAGGTTCAAGTGATTCTCCTGCCTCAGCCTCCTGAGTAGCTGGGATTACAGGCACACACCACCATATCCAGCTAATTTTTTTGTACTTTTAGTAGAGGCGGGGTTTCACCATGTTAGCCAGGCTGGTCTCAAACTCCTGACTTCAGGTGATCTGCCCACCTCAGCCTCCCAAGGTGCTGGGTTTAAAGGCATGAGCCACCGCGCCCAGCCAAGTTTTCAGTCTTATATGGACACAGTTCATGGTGCCCCAAAACAATACACTAGTAACATCAAAATCAATGATCACAGATCATCCTAAACACAGATACAATTTTTAAAAATGGAAATATAGTGAGAATTACCAAAATGTGATACAAAAGACAAGCAGTGAGCACATGCTTTTAGAAAAATGGCACGGATAGACTTGCTCAATGAAAGGTTGCCATAACCTTCAATTTGTAAACAAACAAAAATGTACCAAAAAATACAATATCTGTGAAGCACAACAGAATAAAGCTCAATCAAATGAGGTATACCTATGTCTAATATCCCTCTTTTCAAAAAACTGATAAGGTTCTGGGGGATGTACTCATGTATGTTTAATAGAACCTTAATAAAAAGTGAGAGATACTGTACTATATCTTGAGTTGAAGGACAGGGTCATGTGATTTCAGAGGGATATTTGAGTAAGCTAAAATTTAATGAATCTAGATTATTAATAAGTTTTTGGAATATTTTTCTATATTTGTTTCTATTTTTTTTTTTACTTTTCACATTTTAAGGATGAGGAATATGTTTTTTAAAAAGGATACATATATGAGTTCCTAAAATATTATAGAGAAAAAGCATACACAATAAAGTGCCAAATTTTGTGACAGATACTTATAAAATCAGCTGGAAAAAAATGCTACAAGGATACGTAGGATCAAAAACAGACCTGCAAGCAAAGAATTCAGTCAAGATGAAAAGCTCCATATGTCTGTTCTTAACAAGATCCTCTTTGTCTCAGCAGTCCCACAGCATAGGTGAGTTAATGGAATACAGAGAAAATCCTATTAATCATCTTATTTTACAACATTTATTTAACTGAAATATTATTGTAGAAAGAAGTTTATTTTGCTTAAGTAGCTAGTTCAGTGCAGAATCAAATTTTGGTCTCTGGGTCATCTGTTTTAGACAACATAGAAATCAACAGAGAAATTCTTTGCACAGTATTACTAATGCCATTATTCTCCTAACTCAAATGGCAAACTCTCAAATCTCTCTACTAAATCATTTCCATTTTTTTTAAGGACAGTTAACTGCTAAATATCTTAAAGAGTCATTCATATAAACCTAATAATCAGGCAATTCATTTGACTGCTTTTGTAATGAGAAAAGGGAAACTGTAATTGCCTTTTGTGAAGGTGAAAAGAGTGTTAAGAAAACACCGAGTCTACACAGGCAATTCACCCAGTTGGTGGCCTAACGCTAGGAGGATAACATCCATCACTCCACTGTAATTCACAGCTAAACACACTGAATACTACATATTTTCTAACTCTTGAATTTGCTCTAGAGAGAGTAGCATTGATCTCAAGAACTGTGGTACACTCAATGACCTAAAAATATTTAAGCACTATGGTCAAATTTCATGTTGAAATATAATATTACTACAATTTAAAACTAAAATTTTAGTGGTTTCATCTGTTAAAATCACTGAGGTCAATACGAACAAAAAGATTTTCTACTTAATAGAAATTTTAAGGGCCTTAGGAATCACATGCCCTGGTAAGTAGTTTTTCTTTAGGGTTCCATCAATAAAAAATGTAAGTATTTCTCTTTTATTATTATTTGATACCAATTATGGGCTTGGGAATGACAATTTTACTTGGCATTTTGTGTTTCCTTAAAGAAATGAACCACTTGACTTTTACAAAGCTGGAGAAATAATAATGGTTTAGAATTCAACCTATAGACCCATTTTGTTGGGAACAGGCCCCCAGATCTGACCATAAACTGGCCCCAAAACTGGCCATAAACAAAATCTCTGCAGCACTGTGACATGCTCGTGATGGCCTTGACGCCCATGCTGGAAGATTGTGGGTTAACGGGAATGAGGGCAAGGAACACCTGGCCCACCCAGGGCGGAAAGTTGTTCTTAAACCACAAACAATAGCATGAGCGATCTGTGCCTTAAGGACATATTCATGCTGCAGATAACTAGTCAGAGCCCATCCCTTTATTTCTGCCCATCCCTTTATTTCCTGTAAGGAATACTTTCAGTAAATCTTATGACTGGCTTTCTGTCAATAAATATGTGGGTAAATCTCTGTTCGAGGCTCTCAGCTCTGAAGGCTGTGAGATCCCTGATTTCCCACTCCACACTCTATATTTCTCTGTGTGTGTCTTTAATTCCTCTAGCACTGCTGGGCTGGGTTAGGGTCTCCACAAACAAGCTTGTCTCAGCACGTTTCATACAAGGGAAGATTTAAATAGTTTTAGTTGTAACTTCATAAAACTGATGTACCTTTTTCAAGGTAATTAAGCTCAAATCACAAAAAGATTTGGCCACAGGGCTCAAGGGAGTTGGTAGTAAGATATTCAGCCTTTTATCTCCATGCAGTTGGTGTTAGAGTGTCTTGACCTGATAGTGGATAAAAGCAGCAAGTGTATACCAATGGATTCAGGGTTCCTGCAAGCCAACTCCTTGTTGGCAGGAGCAGATTCCTGCTCTGTTTTCAGGTTTCACTTGCTAAGTGACTTCTATTTAATCATTTCGAGAGCAGAATCATGTTATTAAATACTTTTCTATGTTTAACATTGAATATCTTTTAAAGTTTGTTTATCCTATCAATGTTTACAATAGTCAGATATTATGATTCCTGATGACTTCATAGACCAATGACACATACAAGGATGCATAAATGCTTATTAAAAGAATCACTACTCTACTCTATAGTGAACCAGGATGCTTTTCTTAGCCACCTTATAAGATCAGTGTATGAGAGCTTTTCAGGCAAAAATTTCAACAGTAACTTTTTTTTCCCTTCAGCCAGAAGATTGTAAAGAGAAGGAAGGGAGTGCATGTGGAAAGGGAACTTATTTCTCTAGTGCATACCACACAGCAGGTACTTTGTAGTCTTTCTTAATAAGCTTTCCTTTTGTTCTCATAACCTCTAATAGAGGCATTATTATTTTCATTTTATAAACGAGTGAATTATAATAGTTCAGAGTGGTCAAAATTTACTGTTTTGCTTACTCATAAAAATGTTATCCCAAAGAGTTTTGTTTGCTTGTTTTGTAATTCTAAAACTGGTCTGATTAGATATTTGCAAAATTAAATGAAAGGTAAGTTACACCTGTAGGAGCAATGTACTTTTATGTCTAAAACACCAAAAAGAACGTTTTCTTCATTACAAAATGTTAAAATTTTTTTGGTATTTTAAGATGTGTCAAAATGTTATGCCTTCACATAGTTTTCCTTAATATTATTCAGGCTTAATATAAAAAAACAAACAATATGAAGTTAGATAAAGAAAAATGTAAATTTCTTTCTTTTTTTTTTTTTTTTTTTGAGATGGAGTTTTGCTCTTGTTGCCCAGGCTGGAGTGCAATGGCATGATCTCGGCTCACGGCAACCTCCACATCTCAGGTTCAAGAGATTCTCCTGCCTCAGCCTCCCAAGTAGCTGGGATTACAGGCATACACCACTACGCCCAACTAATGTTGTATTTTTAGTAGAGATGGGGTTTCTCCATGTTGGTCAGGCTGGTCTCAAACTCCTGATCTCAGATGATCCGCTCGCCTTGGCCTCCCAAAGTGCTGGGATTATAGGGTGAGCCACTGCACCCAGCTAGAAAAATGTAAAATTACATCCATATTTACAAAAAATATGCCATATTCATATTCTTCTAGACCTTTCAACAGCTATTTGTATATTGTGCCTATTAATTTGTCATTTATTTTTAATAAATTTTAACTTCTTAGTCATATCTTTCTGTTTTAGTATATGTAGGTGTTATCACAGCCATATTTCGATTCTTGGCATGAAATGCCAATTTATTAAACTAATTTTGTATTAATGGACATTTAAGATTTTGTTTTTTGTTATTATAAGTAACACTGTAATAAACATTCCTGTGAATACTCTTGCACATTTATCTTATTTTCTCTGCATAGCTTGCTAAGATTAGTGGGTCAAAATATATGAACATTTGGCCTGGAACTGTGGCTCATGCCTATAATCCCAGCACTTTGGAGGGCTGAGGCAGGCAGATTACTTGATGTCAGGAGTTCAGGACCAGCCTGGCAAATGTGGTGAAACCTCATTCTCTACTAAAAATACAAAAATTAACCAGACGTGGTGGCAGGCACCTGTAATCCCAGCTGCTAGGGAGTCTGAGGCATGAGAATCACTTGAACCCGGTAGGTGGAGGTTTCAGTGAACCAAGATAGGGCCACTGCCCTCCAGCCTGGGTGACAGAGCGAGACTGTCTCAAAAAATTAAAAATTAAAAAAATGAACATTTATAGATTTTGTACACGGTAATCCATTCACTTTTATGCATTCAGCATGTTCTGTGTACCAGGCATGATTTTAGATGATTCAGATAGTGAATCAAACACCTTAAAATCTGTGCTCATGGAGTACATTATTATAGTGAGGGGAGAAAAACAACTATAATAAATAAATATACTACATATTATATTTAATAATAGTGAATTATTTGGCAAAAGTAAATAGCCCCAAGTTGAAAGTTGATGGGGTGTTGGCTGGGTGCAATTTTAAACAGGATAGTCAGGGTAGGACTGAGAAATTGTCATTAATAAACACTTGAACAATTCTATCAATTCACATATAGGATAAGAGTGTCTATATCTTCAAGTCTTTGTCAATATGGGGTGTTACCAATCTTTTCGATACTGTATGTAAAACATTGATACCCTACTCACTTTTAAATGTCAATGTTTAAAATTCAACGAGCATCTTTTATATATTTAAGAGTTATTTATATTACTTCACCTGACAATTTGCTATATATGATCTTAGTTTTTCTATTGATTTATTAATCTTTTGCCTAATATCTAAGCATTCTTTATATAGTAAGAATATAATATATTTTTTCATACATGTCAACATTTTTCTAGGTTTTTGTTTTCTGTTCTGATTATTTCTGTGCCTGAATCCTCAGAATTTACTTTTTCCTTCTTGCTTAAACACGTCTCTCATTGTTTGAAAGAAGATAAAATATCACCCCACTGGGAAGCCCGTCCTGATTACTCCTAGCCTACCCCAGCACTACTCAAGCTCTAAATTACATAATTTCATATACTGCTTTCTAATTTGCTTAAATGCATTTTTTCTGTGTTCTTCAAGGAAATGACTATTTGTATGTTCCCCAAACTCCTGAACAATGGGAGGTCAAAAGCAATGGCACTACAGAAACATGGTTTAAAACAAAAATGTAAAACAGCCCTTTGCTGAAGCAATTCATTGTGACCATATGCCAGGTTTCATTACCAACTCAGCATAAACCAACGCAGACTGATTCTTAGAAATCTACAACTGTAATGTTACTCTACCCTGATGGCCTTAACCTAAGGTTCCTCACACTTCCCTCTCCTAAGCTTTCAGGACAGCATAGACTCTACAGCATCTTAGTAGGGATGGGCAAACCCCATCCCCAGCCTTTGAAGTGCTGTCTTCTTCTCTCAAGCTCAAACTTCCCCTGTAACAGGACCTGAAGTTGAAGCCAAACTCATTTTTATAACTAAATCCCAGTGTAAGTAGGAAGATTGGGCCAGAGAAAGCAGAAGTTTATCTAGAGTTGCTCAGAGAAGGTGCCCAGCATCCTTCTGATGACTGCAGATCTCTATGCTACCCATCCAAGTTGTTTTGCTAATGACAGAAGGAGACCTCAGAACTAGATGGGAGATTGTGCTTCTAATGACTCATTGTCATCCTACATGGAGTCAAAATAAGCTTTATGGGGAATGTGGCATTGTACTAAGCTTAAGAAGCTAAATTGGCATGCAGTTTTATATTCTCATCAAGGGAACACGGTTGCAATGATGGTTATTAAAATGCCTTTACTAAAAAAAGTGATAGTCCTTATGAAACTTTTAATTGGACAGAGGGAGATCAATACATCAAAGTATTAAAGTGCTTCACTGAATTGTAGAATCACGTGCAGTCATTTACCCCATCTACTTTCTGACTTCTAGATGGTTGATGCTTTAGGGCCATGCACTTCTTAAGCAGGAATTACTGACCATGTCAAGATTGGGACTTAGTATTTCCTGGATGCTGCTCTCTCATATTTTTCTTTTTCCTGCCATGCCTGGACACCTAACCCACCTTATCTCAAACTTCAGTAACAAGAGGCATCTCAAACACTGTCTTGATTTCCTTTCTCACTGTTGTATTGTGGCACCTTAGAGCCTACATGGCAGTACTTCCGTTTTTCTGCCTAGACATTCATTTATCTATTCAAAAACGCAGTTTTGAGCACCCTGTCATGCACAAAGCACCTTGTAAGTAATTGAGAATACAGGATTTGTTCATAGAAGATTATTGCCCCCCAGAGATTTTTATCATCTAATGAAGGAGACAGTCACATTAATATGCAATTAGTTTACACTATGTAAGGTAGTGTGACAGTGGTATGATAGAGTCATGTGAGGAGTACTCTAGCAATACAGGGAATGCTGGGGGTCAGTGGGATAAATAAAGGAGGTTATGCTGCAAATAGGTTGGGAACTCTAATGGTGTGTTTGGCACATGAGCTAAACTCTAATTTCTTATCTTCTTTGCTCTAAAGTCTACATATTTATGGACTTCTATTTTTCCTAACAGTTATTTTTGGAACCCTTTTCTGGATATTACTTACTATTCATGCCCTGGTTTTTGCAATCCTCCTGTCACTGCTCTTAATTAATGGCTAGTCACCTTCCGTGACTATTTTTTTCTTCTTTTCTCACTGGTTTTCCAATATACAGACCTAACCTACATGTAGCACAAACCTGACTCAATTTTCATTCCCCAGTGCTAAAATGGAAGATACATTTAAAATATACATCCTGACAAAAATGGGCTTGTACTCTGCTACCTCTACCTCTCTGTTTTAAACACAGCTGGCATTCTATTAATAAACATACGGCATTATTTTAGTTGCTTCCCTGAGCATAGACAGTGACACATCTTGTGTTCACATTTGGTGCTGCAGCATTCTGCATTCTCATAATACAAAAATTCAGAAGAAAAAAAATCTCTATTTTTTCTTTATCTTCTTGTTTTAATATGTAACTTCATTTTTTAAAACTCAAAACCTATTTGCTATTCTACCATACAAATGTTTTAAAATGGAAGAATCAAAACCTTACCCAAATCCAGAATCATCATCCAAAACATGTTAAATTGAGATTTTGTCAAATGTTAGCTAATGTGTATGTGTTTTAATATTTTGTCACAATCTTATCTGAAATGACATTATATTTGAAAATCTAAGCCAAAAATTAATGGTTGGTTATATTTATATTTTTTAGATTAATGATATATGAAAGTCTGATATGGGTCCTATGCAATAAAAATTTTTGAACATACCAATGCTAGCCTCTGTAGTCTATGTCTTTGTTCAGTTGTTCCAAACACGTAATCATATCTGAGGACTTGAATTACCAGAAATCTGACCTATTCGACACTTAGATTTTTAAAGAATAAGGTTCTATTTTTGCCTAACAATTTAATATATAAAATATCTGATACTGGTGAGAATGTAGTAAATTGGACACTATCTAATGCTGCAATAATGCTGCCAAAGAAAACACCCACAAAACTTCAGTGGAATGGAAAAAGAAAAATTTATTTTTGCTCACACTCTATGGGCTATCTGAGCAGTTCTTCTGACAAGAGCTTGGCTCTTTGATTGAACTGTGAGTCAGATGGGCAGTTCTGCTGGGCTAGGCTGGGCTGGCTCTGGGCTGGTCTATGATTAACTCAGTGGGGAAAATTCAGTCTACTTGTTCTGTCATCCTCCCTCAGCCAATCCCAAGCTTATTATCATGGTGGAGACAAGATTTTAAGAGAAAGAGCAGGGGTGACAAGGACCTCTTGAAGTCCAGTTTTAGAACAAACATACTTTCATTTTTTTCAACATTCTATTGGCCATGGCGAGTCACAAGACCAGCCCAGTTTCAAGGAATGGCAACACAAATCTACTCTGCAAAGTCACATTGCAAGGGGATTGTGGAGAAGTGGCACCTTTTCTGAAATCAGCCTACCACCAACACTGACATATATTTCTGATGAGAGCGTACATTTGAAAAGTCCATTGGGTAAGACTAACTTGACAAAAATGGGTTAGCAATCTTTAAAATGCTATAGTCATTGATCAACTGATATATTTTCTATGACTATAATCAAGTAAATTATATAATAACACATACAATATGTGAAAATGTTGTCATCTCATGATTGTGGTTTTTTGTTAAAAGTCAAGTGACCGAATGATCAACAGTACAAAACTGGTTAATCTCACTGACAGCATCAACTTTAGAAAATCAGGCAGTCTTTGTTTTTGTTGTTGTTTATTTAGTTTTTGAGACACAGTCTTGCTCTGTCACCCAGGCTGGAGTGCAATGGCACAATCTCAGTTCACTGCAACCTCTGCCTCCCAAATCTAAGCAATTATCCCTGTCTCAGCCTCCCGAGTAGCTGAGATTACAGGTGCCCACCACTACGCCTGGCTAATTTTTGTATTTTTTAGTAGAGATGGGGCTTCACCATGTCGGCCAGGCTTGTCTCAAATACCTGGTTATGAAGTTTATAGACACACAAATAGAAATATAAGTGTAAATTAACACTCATTTTTAATTAAAAGTGGAGAAAAATATATAACCTTTCCTTGTTATAATTATTATTTGTATACACTGACAGATTTTTTTAGTGCTAGATCCTTCACCCTTTTCAAACTCTTTCCAAAACTTTCAATTGATATTTTCTTTTCTTTCTTTAGTATTCAAAGTGATTTTTAATATAGAAAAATGATAAAATGGAAATTTTTTATGACAATATTTAGAATATATTGCAGGGTATACATTTTTATAATTACAATTAACAAAAAACCTATTTACTGAAAAAATAATGAAAAAGCTTTATTTGAATATGTATAAAATTGTGTTTGTGCAGACATCTTAAATTTTTATGTATTCAAATAATCTATTTTTCATTTTTCTCCTATGCATATGCACAGTAATTGCTCCCCAATCATGTGCTGCCTTTGCATAAAATTCCAGCATATGTGTATTTCTATGATACCCACACAGGAAAAAGAATTTAAGGGCACAAACTTGGAAACCATATTGTGCTGTGAAAATGTTTTGAAATTAGAAAAGTTGACATAAGGATAGAATCCAAGAAAAGCTACTGGCATTTGATTACTGGAAATTATGGAAAAGAGGAAGTAATGATGAAATGTGTCTAGAACATCTGTCAGCAGAGCCAAGGGAAAGGGGTGCAGGAATACCAAATACAAAACTCACCAGATGTTTGGATCAGCATGGTTTACCAGACTACTATAACTTTTTATTATTATTGAATTCTTTTGCCTGATTCATACTCTACCAATCACATTACTAAACTTAGCTGAGTTTACAAAGCAGGCTTCCATGTTTAAAGTAGAGTAAGCCTGTGGAGAAAAGGGAAAACTTGCACGCTGTTGGTGGGAATGTAAATTAATATAGCCATTATGAAAAACAGTAGGGAAGTTTCTTAAAAAACGAATAAGAGAACTACCATATAATCTAGCAATCTCACTTCTGGGTATATATCTTAAAGATCTGAAATCAGTATATTGAAGAGATATTTGTACTCTCATGTTTGTTGAAACTATTTAGAAGAGCTAAGTTATAGAATCAACCTAAGTGTTCATCATTGGATGAAATGGTAAAGAAAATGTGGTATCTTTATATAGATAAATAGAAAATGACATAATATTTAACCTTAAAAATCTGTCATTTGCTATAACATGGATGAACCTGGAGGACATTATTCTAAGTAAAATAAGAAAAGCAAATAAAGAAAACTGCCATGTGTAGAATGTAAAAGAATCTAGCTCATAGAAGCAGACAGTGGAATGATGGTTACCAGAGACTGGGGAATGGGGGTAATGAGATGTTTGTCAAGGGATACAAAGTTTCAGTTAGGAACAATAAATAATCAGTATTTGAAGTGATGGATATGATAATTTGCTTGATTCAATCATTCCACAGTGTATACACGTTACAACATCACTCTGTACCCCTGAAATATATATGATTAAAATTTATCAGTGAAAAAATAGTGTAAGTCACAGACTAGTCAATGATAATGCTTTGTTTTTGGTTTGATAATACTTAAGATGGTGACACTGGCATTAACTTATAAAGCAGTCTTTGCTGAGTTTTATTATGAAGATACTCTGTTCTGTGCTGCAGAACCTTGCCACCAAGTTTCCATACCTGGGAAACTGAGAACCTGAATCAGTAACATATCAGTATTAATGTATATCAGAGGACTGTCTCACTACCACTTCATAAGGCAAGAGATAAGAGTCAGATGGTTATGACTGGATATGCTAGTGGTAACTTTCCTGAAAATGAATGAATTGGTGATTTCTGTTTCAAAGTGTGTGTAGCTGATTTCAAGTGTTATCGGGTGTGATGGTTAATTTTATGTATTAGCTTGGCTAGGCCAAAGTACCCAGATATTTGATCAAATGTCAGATTGTCACTATAAAGAGTTTTTTTTTTTTTTTTTTTAATGAGATTAACACTTATGTCAGTAGACTTGGAGTAAAGCAGATTACCCTCCAAATGTGGGTGGCTTCATCCAATCAGTTGAAGGCCTTAGGACAAAAAGTCTGAGGATCCTCTTCAGACTCCAGCTGCAACATCAGCTCTTCCCTGGGTATTCAGCCTGCCAGCTTGTCCTGCAAATTCAGACTCGACAGCCTCTACAACTGTGAGCTAATTTAAAACAATCTTTCTTTCTCTTTTTCAAATCCCTCACTAATGCATCATGTTTTGTGTTCAGCCATGTTTCAAGCTATTTGACAATTCTCTCTTATCCGTATATATGGAAGATACAATGCTGTAGGCTCATCATACCATACCCTTTTCCTGCGAACACAGGAGGACCCCATCTTCTAGCCTCTCTTACAGTTATGTTGGACCTATGTGACTGGATTCTGGCCACTGGAAAAGCAACAGTGGATGTAACACAAGTTACTTTCAAGCCTAGCCCTTAAAAGCATCTTGCCAAACCCTTCAACTCTCTGTTACAAAGCAGCCTTGAAAGCCATGTATTCTAGGTGGCATACGAACATGATAAAGAAAGCATGTCAGACCTATATGAAACCAGAGTAAGCAATAATTTATTCTTTATTATGTTCAGGGACTGAGATATAGGAGTTAATTTCTCACTGCAGCATAGCCTAGCATTTCCGTACTAATACCCTGCATCAGTTGGGTTGCTGTGAGCAGTATGAGAAAACCCAGAGTCAGACTGGCCTCAACAATATGGAAATGCATCAACTCACATAACAGGAAGAGCAAAGGTTAGACAGATTTCATGACTGGTTGGTTATGCAGCTCAATGATGTGACCGAAGGCTATCTTTTCTTAGATGTCTCTTCTTTGTGTTCCTCAGCATTTCAGCTTCATCTTCATGCTAGTTCCCCCTTATATTCATCTGACAGGTGTCACAGAAACAAATTTCACATCATGGTCATCTCATTTCCCTAGAATACCTCCACTGTCCTTCCACTTGTCTCATTTGATGGAATTGAATACACACACCTATCCCTAAACCATCAATGGCAAAGGGATTGGGAACACTCATTGTCTTAAATAAATCAGGATTGTTATCTGAGATTAAAGGTAAATTAGCCCTCTTCTGAGTCATGAAGAAAGAAGTGAATGTATGAACCAAATCAAGCCTCTTCAAAGAGTGCATACCAAACTCAAGGTCTTTGGGATATTAAGGCTTGATATTACACCCTGGAACTCTTGAGAAATCACTACCTAAGCCATTTAAATTAAACCATCTTGACCAGGCTCCCCTCCCATTCCTCTAGGGAGAAGAGCATATATATGTAACTGCCAGAATCATATTACTACGTTGAATGACAGGGTCAGGGCAGAACATATGCATCCTGAGGCTTGAGCCGTACCCTAACCCTGAAATAGTTTCTTTGACCGCAAGCCGTCAGTGATTCTTCTCTGCAATAAATAGTGGAGACAAGACTAGTTTTTTGACTAAATTCTCCAAAGGGGTGAAACAGGCAATCAGGTAAAATATAAAACACCTTACTGAAAATTAATACAAAAATGCCCTGATTTTAGCATCATACAATAGACAAATATGTTTGAAAACACATGCTGTCTGTTATACTTTAACACGGCACAACAGGAGAATTGGGAGTGAGGCTGGAGACAAAGATGGGAAAAATAAAGAAATAACCTTAATGACAGAATGCTGTCTTGCTTCACAAAATTAATTAAGTCCTCCATTGCACGAGAGCCACATAATCTCTGCTCAAAAAGATTAACCCAATTTATACCAATTAACCCAAAGCAAATCTAGCTTTTTGTATGCTTAACAGGAGCATACATATAAGAATGCCACACATCAGGATTAAAGGGGAGTCACAGTAATTCTACTTTACTGTATAAGCATTAAAGCAGCAGTAGTACATTATCTATTTTGTTGTTTAGCATAAATGTTGATTTTTAAGAAGTGAAGAAGGTAAGGTGGAGTCCACGGTCTTGGCTTTTATCTACATGCCAATCCTATGAGAGGCTTGGTGTGAAGTGGAAAGTGTTGAAGTGGTTGAAAGGTTAGCCTTTCTAGCTTAAAAAAATCTGTCAATTATTGCCATTGTGACATTTAGTAATTCAATCAAACTTTCTTAAGTTCAGTTGCTGTGTCTATATATAAAGTAACAACAATGGATATATTCCCATAAACTTCATAGAGTTAAGTAAAAATCATCACAAAGTCAAAAAAAATGAGCTGATATAAATTATCACTGACACGGAATACTTGATCAAACATTTATGGTCTCAAAATTATTGCTTATTCA